>NC_000003.12:194309572-194460571 GCF_000001405.40 Homo sapiens | reverse complement strand
GGAACATCGCTGCCTGGATAAAATGAGGAATGCTAATTCTAGTATTTCTAGAGGATTTGTGTTTGAATTGACTATTATTATAATGATTAGAGTTTAAAGGAATCTTAAAGATGATCAGATTCACCCCCTTCCTTTCATCTCTCTTGTTGCCCTGAGAGATTAGCTACTTGTCTGTTACGGTGCTGGTCCATTAGGACTGTAGTCCAGATCTCGGTCACTAGGCCAGCTGCCTGTCTGCTGTGTGATGCTGATGCATTTCAGCCTTTTTTCTTTTTTAAAAACCCTAATTGGAAGCATTTTATAAGAGGTTTTAATATTTAGTCCAAATATAGAGACTAATTAAGGAATTACTCATGATATTTTATGAAGTATTGATGTGCTTATCGGTAAAATATGTCATAAAAACCATGAGCAATGGAAAGCACCTTATGTTTGAATTTAAGCATCCTCATGAAATGGTTTAATATTTAGTGAGTAGGCGTGATGTTTCCTCAATTAGAGATGAGGAAATAATGTCTTGTAAAGAATGGAAAATAAATGAAAATATAGGCAGTTTTCTATAAAATTGACTCCTTACCGTTATCCCTTTCTCTCTTTAAGGATGAATTCAAAATGTGGTTTTGTGCAAAAATTCGCGTTCTTTCTTTGGAAACTTACCCAGTTTCAAGTCCAAAATCTATGTCTAATAAGCTTTCAAATGGCCATGCAGTTTGTTTAATTGAGAATCCCACTGAAGAAAATAGGCACAGGATCAGTAAATATTCACAGACTGAATCACAACAGGTATTGTGATCTTAATGTCAAAGTTTCTTTAAAAATCAGAATTGTTACATTTTATGCTATCATGTATATTCTATAATTTTGTGTTTGCAGTTAATGCTTGAGATAAATTTACCTGCATATAAAATATTACATATTACTATATATAATGCTATATATAATCCTATATATAGCTGTTAATAGAAGTAACAGATTACATATCACAAGTGATTATATGCTTTTTGGTGTAACGTTTATTTGTGTTCCACAGATTCGTTATTTCACCCACCATAGTGTAAAATATTTCTGGAATGATACCATTCACAATTTTGATTTCTTAAAGTAAGTATCTTCCTTTTGTTTGGATTGTATTTTGAATATCCTGAAAACGTTCTAGATAGAAAAGAGTCCATTCTAGTATTCATAAAATTGCTGAGGTTTTATTTTATAATTTCTATTCACGTATTAATTAACAACTCCCTGTTGCTGTTTGAAGGCTCATTAGCCATTTTAAAATAAGTCCCACCGCAGCTTGCACCATGGCAGAGTTTACATGAAACTTAGAGTCAGTATGATGCCAAAGTCTACTGAGTCTGAGTTCTTACCTGTTTCACCTCAAAGTGATTTTGAGTATACCTCATAGCCTGTGTCTCAACTTAGAGTATCTGAATCATTACCTGTTGGTTTACTGACACTTAAAGCCTGTGGTACTTGAGGAGTAGAGTAATAGGCAAAGAGAAATTTAATTTTACTATGTAGATAAAGAATGGGGCAAGCTGTAGTAATTCCTTTATTTTTAATCGAGGATTTAAGTTATATAAGTACACATTAAGATTCTGTTTTTATTGCTCTTAAAATGATTATTATAAATACTCATTAATATCGTTGCTTTAGAGTGCCAAAGGAATTCTTAATTTTAGCGGTAAAAAGAAAATCATGTTATGAACATTTAAAATATTCATACCTGTAGGTTTCTATTGGAAGTAAAAAATAAAATATTCATACCTGGATTTTTTACTCAGATACACTAATGAATTGGAACATTCTGGAATGGGCATGGGCATTTTTACATGCCTAGTTTTAAAAACCATTCCTGATTAAGAACTATTGCCTTAAAGAAAATCAGGCCGGGCATGGTGTCTCATGCCTGTAATTCTAGCATTTTAAGAGGCCAAGGCGGGCGGATCACCTGAGGTGAGGAGTTCAAGACCAGCCTGGCCAACACGGTGAAACCCCGTCCCTACTAAAAATACAAAAAAAATTAGCCTGGTGATGGATGGCTATAATCCCAAATACTCAGGAGGTTGAGGCAGGAGAATCGCTCAAACCCAGGGGGCCGGAGGTTGCAGTGAGCTGATACTGTGCCACTCCGTTCCAGCCTGGGCCAAAGAGCGAAACTGCGTCTCATAAAAACAAAGAAAATTGCCAATGGGCTGTCATTTTGTTTAAAAAAAAAATTTTTTTTTTTTTTTGACTTGGCACTGGCCCCTGCTGCCTTCTGGAGAAGTCATCAAATTCAGTGGGAAGAAATGTCAAACATATTTACTGTGTGTCTTTTGCCAGCCATAGAAACTTAAAAATTTAAACTTACTCCATTGATTGAAGTGAATTATGAAGCTTAGCTTTCCTATGTGGAAAGTGTGGAAAAGGATTGGAATTAAGTATATGTAAGACTTTCTTTGCTTTAGAGTTATAGCTGGTATCTCAGTTAAAATAAGCATAATTAAGGCGGGGGGTGGTGGCTCATGCCTGTAATCCCAGCACTTTGGGAGGCCAAGGTGGGCGGATCACCTGAGGTCAAGAGCTTGAGACCATTCTGGCCAACGTGGTGAAACCCCTTCTCTACTAAAATTACAAAAATTAGCTAGGCATGGTGGTGTGTGCCTGTACTCCTAACTACTCAGGAGGCTGAGGCAGGAGAATGGCTTGAACCCAGGAGGCGGAGGTTGCAGTGAGCCGAGATTGTGCCACTGCACTCCAGCCTGGCGACAGAGCAAAACTCCATCTCAAAAAAAAAAAAAAAAAAAGCATAATTAAGATATTTTGGGAAAAAGTAGATGTGTTAGTTGAAGCCCACTTAGAATTATTACAGATTTTAGGCATTGTCTGTGACTCATAAATTCTGCACTTCAAACCAGGTATGCATTTAGGGAAGGGTTTGGCTTGATGCTTTTATGGAGATGGAAGAAAATGAATAGAAATTCTTAATTTGACTCTAAAATTGAAAAGGAGAAACTATGTAGCTAAAAAGTAAAATGTTTTCATCTTTGGTTTAGAATTCTCAAGTTATACTTTATCTTAAAATTTTAAAGTTTAATTTTAGCTATTACAGCTTTGGCACAGTCTTAAGGATAATGATATTATTATATAAATTTGAGTATTTAGAGCCATCTCATCTATCCTGCAATAAACATATTGAATAGCTTCGAAGTTGGGTTTGAGACTTAGATTTGTCATTGTTTATCTTAAGAATTTGAGATTTAAAAATTCTCATTTGTTATCTCAATTTTTGTTAAGGGTTTCTAAGGATTTGTAAGGAAGTCACACCTTTATAAAATCAGGCATATAGAAAAATGAGGCGTTAAGAAATTTGGATATTTTAAACTTTGTTTAAAGTAAAAACTTTGGATTTATTTAGGGGACTGGATGAAGGTGTTTCTTGTACGTCAATTTATGAAAAGCATAGTGCAGGACTGACAAAGGGGATGCATGCCTACAGGTAATTTTTATCCAACTAAAGTTAGATCTTCTCAAAATTCCTAAAAGCAGTAGTATACATAATCAACCCTTTACCATATAGTTGTACATATTAACAGATACTTAAATATTACAGACATAGTAGTTGAGAATTTATTGATGTTTTATTTGGGTAAGACTGTCTTAGTTTAAGAATTATAAAAATGTGCAAGCTGATATTTTGAAGTTGGTATCCCTGAAATTATACCATATTTCATCAGTTCCCAGGTGCACGTTTTTCCACCTTTTAACATCTCTGAGATTGGGATGTGTCATAGAGTTGGTGAAGTGTCGTTCTTGATAGCATTTTTATCTTTCTTGATCATATAATAATGGTATGCCTTACAATTGATAGCACCTTAGATTTTCTGAAATACAAGCATGAGTTCAAATTCACCGTAATGAAAGATTGTAAATTGGGAGACATAATCTCCTTCATTGTGTTATTCCTTGTTAAATCATAAAAATACACCAGTGTATTGCGTATGTTAAAGATAAATGCCACTTTGAAATTCAATAAGAAATTTTCTTATAGTTCTGTAACATGTTCTTTCAAAGGGGTAGAACATAAAATTCACTCATTTAGACTTACATTTCATAAAAGTCTAGAATTACTCTATCATATAGAAAATACTATTGTAACATAAGGAATTAAGTGGAAACATTTAAACTTTAAAAGCATTTTCTTTTAAAGTCGAATGTACAATGTTTTGAACTAAACACTGTTAGTGCAATATTAAAAAAAAAATAAGATCCCTCAAATTTATTTGGCTTCTTGCAAAAAATAATTGTAATTCAAAATTGTTAAGATCTAGTGTGTTCAAGGATGCAAAAGAGAACCTTTTGCTCACATGGTATTATAGACTAGTGGGAAAGATACTTGTCACACATAAAGATGTGAGACAAAATGAAGTTAAGTGCTACCAGTATAGGTATCTACTATTGACTTCTTTGTTTTAAATTCTGTAGGTAGAGAGTTTGAATTATAGAAGACAGGTGTTTGGAGACATGAATAAGAACAGTCTGTGGTTTAAGCCTTACCTAATACAATGCCTTTCGTAAATTATACTATTATGATATAATGTAATACTATGAATGTATTTTCCTGTTATAGAAAACTGCTTTATGGAGTAAATGAAATTGCTGTAAAAGTGCCTTCTGTTTTTAAGCTTCTAATTAAAGAGGTAAGACTATTGATTGTATATAACTTAACAGTCATGATCAATGGATGTGTCAATTTGGAATGAGTTGTGATTAAAATATTCTTGGTTTTCTTTTTCCTAACCTCTTTTTCATATTTTTACTTGGAAGGTAAAGACGGAAGACATTTACTCTGGTAGAGAAAGAATCTGGGGCATGTATTCTTAAAATTTTGTCTAGTTTTGCTTTTATTACCTGTTGAATGTCTAGCAGAGTTAGGCTCACCAATCTTCATTCTGGTTTTTGGCTAAAGCTCAAGAATTAGTTGTATTAGGTGAACACTTTTAGGAGTAGAAGTAAGATTGTTTTTCATCAGTTCCTGGGAGTGGCCATGTAATGTTGCTTATGAGCATAGCATAGTGTAGTGATTAGGAATTGGAAGACCTGATTTTAATGTAGTTCCATCAGTAACTAGCTCTGATCTTTAGTACATTCTCTCTGTTGCTCCTTTACCTATAAACTTGGAATAAGTTTTTTCCAATTATCTCATTTGGTTTTGAGGTAAAATGAGACTATATATGAAAGTGCTTTGAAAAGTACAGAAGCATCAATTTGAAGACATTGGGTGGGGGGTGTTTAATGAAATTGATAAAATACCATGACATTTGGGTGGGTGAAGTTCATTGCCAAGGTCTCCCTTTATCTCTTTTTCATTCAGGATTTAATACTTAGTTATTATCTTAGAGAAAGCAAAGTAACATAACCCATTAACTCATATTTGTCTTTCCTTTGACCTCCAGTTAACTTTTGATATATAAGTAAATTTGTGTTTTGAGTTTATAGTAAGCAAACATTTTTCAATTTCGTTAAAAGTTTTGTATTCTATTAGCCCAGAGCACAGTAATTGGAAATAAATGTACTTTATTGCCAAAGCAGATTGCAGAACGGCTAAAATCATACACTTACTAGCCTTTTCTAGCTGAATCTATATTTGGATGGTATGAATCTAAATGGATGCCAGTAATTTAAATTAACCTTATTTAGCCAAATTCTAGTATTTTAATGATAATAAGAGTATGATGGCATATTGCCCTACCTTTTTTTTTTTTTTTTGAGACGGAGTCTCGCTCTGTCTCCCAGGCTGCAGTGGCGCGATCTCGGCTCACTGCAAGCTCTGCCTCCCGGGTTCAAGCCATTCTCCTGCTTCGGCCTCCTGAGTAGCTGGGACTACAGGCGCCTGCCACCATGCCCAGCTAACTTTTTTGTATTTTTTAGTAGAGACAGGGTTTCACCGTGTTAGCCAGGATGTTTTGATCTCCTGACCTCATGATCCGCCCGCCTTGGCCTCCCAAAGTGCTGGGATTACAGGCGTGAGCCACCGCGCCCAGCCTGCCCTACTTTTTAGGGAAGTACATTTTGCCGTAGAATACTATGGAGCTTATCTTGTACATATTTGTATCTTTTTGTTTGTCAAATGAAAAGATGGACAATCTGTATGGTCATTAATACCTCATTCAGTTTGACTTTAAAATCTTGTTTTTTAGGTTCTCAACCCATTTTACATTTTCCAGCTGTTCAGTGTTATACTGTGGAGCACTGATGAATACTATTACTATGCTCTAGCTATTGTGGTTATGTCCATAGTATCAATCGTAAGCTCACTATATTCCATTAGAAAGGTAAGTTCAAATTTATTATGGGTTTCACAACTGTATTTGTATTTTGTAGTAACATCTAATGTGTGTAGAATAGTACTCAGCACAAAGTAAATTCTCAATGCAGTCATTATTTTAGTTGCATGAATATATGCTCCTTCTCCCCTCCCTTTTTGTTTGTTTTGCTGGTTGGGAGGTTGGGGATAGCAGGTGCTTTGTAGAGTCAAGACTCTACCACTTGACTGTCTAGAGACCATAGGGATCTGTAGTTGCTGATCACAGACTGGAATACTGGAAGGTACTGTTTTCAGGGCTATCCTGTTAAAGTGCTTCTTGTTTTGTCTTGAACTAAAACAATGAATACTCTGAATTTCTGACTCGACATTTTATAAAGATGGAGTGATATGCATTTATTGAATTAACTTATTTTTTTAGCACTCTGGCTTTTTTCCTGAGGAGTGGGTTCATATTGGCTAGTTTCTAACTTCTTTTTCCTCTTTCAGCAATATGTTATGTTGCATGACATGGTGGCAACTCATAGTACCGTAAGAGTTTCAGTTTGTAGAGTAAATGAAGGTAAGTAATTGAATGTTGGAAGAATAAATCAAAAAAGATACCTGTTAGGCATAATGTGTGAAGTAAGCCCAAAGTATAATACATATACATTCTTTGATTGATTGATTGATTGAGTCAGTGTCTCTGTCACTTAGGCTGGAGTGCAAAGGCACAATCTCAGCTTACTGCAGCCTTGACCTCCCAGACTCAAGTAATCCTCCCACTTTAGGCTCCCGAGTAGCTGGGACTACAGGTGCATGCCACCATGCCCAGCTAATTTTTCTATTTTTTTTTTTTTTAGAGACAGGGTTTTGCCATGTTGCCCAGTCTGGTCTCAGACTTCTGGGCTGAAGTGATCTGCCCACCTGGGCCTCCCAAAGTGTTGGGATTACAGGTTTGAGCCACTGCACTGTGCACCCGGCCTTTTTTTTTTTTTTTTTTTTTTTAAAGTCGATGTGGTCTCACTGTTGCACAGGCCTGAGTGCAGTGGCTCAACTTACCCTCCTGTCTCAGCCTCCCAAGTAGGTGGGACTACAGGCTTGTGCCACCATTCCTGGCTAATTTTTTCTCTTTTTTTGAAGAGGCGAGGTCTCACTGTGTTGCCCATGCTGGTCTTGAATTCCTGGGCTCAAGAGATCCTCCTGCCTCAGTCTCCCACAGTCTTGAGATTACAGGCTTGAGCCACTCTGCCTCGCACATACATTCATTTTTTTAAGAACTAAAAGTATACATTTCAGTTCCTGAGTTTGTATCAAATTCATTTATTTATATAAAATTGTATTTTTCTTCTATGTAGCAGGCACTATGCTAGGCTCTGGGGATTCGGTGTAGAGATAACAGTAGTAACAGTAACAATACAGTGTGACAAATGCTATGATAAGGAGAAGTCAGCCAACTTATGTATTAGGGGAGCTCATTTACTGTAGGTATCAGGGATGACTTCTTTGATTAAGTGCTTGTAAGTGATGACTATTTGAATTAGCCAAATAAGAGGTAGGTGAGAAGTTGATAAGGGGAGGCTGAGAGAAGGAGAGAAGAGGGTTCTAAATACCCAAAGGCCTAGAAATTAGAGATTGTGTGGACATTATAAGAACTGAAAGAAGAAATTTAGTATGACAAATACAGCAACTATAAATGATGGATAGCTCTCTGAAGCATGTTAGGGATTTGGGCTCAGTCCAAAAGACAGTGGAAAGCCATTGAAGGCTATTATTATTAATTTATTTTATTTTATTTTATTTTTTCGATAGAGTCTCCTTCCCAGGCTGGAGTGCAGTGGCAATCTTGGCTCACTGCAACCTCCGCCTCCCAGGTTCAAGGAATTCTTGTGCCTCAGCCTCCTGAGTAGCCGGGATTAGAGGCATGTGCCACCACGCCCAGCCAGTTTTTTGTATTTTTAGTAGAAACAGGGTGTTACCATGTTGGCCAGGCTGGTCTCTAACTCTGGGTCTGAAGTGATCCACCCGCCTTGGCCTTCCAGAGTGCTGGGATTACAGGCGTACACACCATCACACCCAGCTAATTTTTGTGTTTTTAGTAGAAACAGTGTCAACCTTGTTGGCCAGGCTGGTTTGGTACTCCTGGCCTCAAGTGATCTGCCCGCCTTGGCCTCCCAGAGTGCTGGGATTACTGGCATGAGCCACCATGCATAGCCACCATTGAAGGGTTTTAAGCAGAGGAGTGATAAAATACTTGCCCTTTGGAAAAAAATCATTCTGGCGTCCACATTCAGACTGGTTTAGAGGAGAGTAATACTGAAGACATGCCCCCCCGAATCAAGGTAGCAATTGCGGAGATGAAAAGAAATGAGTTCAAAAGATACTTAAATGTGACCATTGAACAGGATTTGACTCATTGGATATGAGGCCATGGAGCAGTGTCTGGCTAGGTGGATGGATGTTGGTGCTGTTTAGTTAAATAGGAAACTGGAAGAGAAGCAGGCTTGCAAGAATGGTAATATTTTGGACGTGTAACTTGTCTGGCAAGATGTTGAAGAGGTAAAGGAGGCAGCACAGCATCATGGGCCTTGGAGGCAGAAGCCGCTTTGATTTACTCAGAACACCAAATCAGTCTCCATTTTCTTGACTCAGACTACACCCAAGAGATTGCTTCCTTCCCTGTGCTTCCTGGCCACTTGCTACTCTAGCTAGGAAGATCTGCCTCCCTTAGCTGAAGTCTAAGATGTGTAGCTTATTGATGCCTCTCCTCTTCTTGTTCTGCTGTTGCTGAATATAATGGGGATGCCAGGGCAGACATACCATTCAACTTGAATCTTCCTTACCCACTTTGTATAGTCTTACATGTCATTGATACCTTGTTTTCTGGTACGCCTAAAAGGAGTAGAACTTCAAGTGGTATTTAAAAGCTTTAAGAAAAGTCAAATTTTTACTTTTTTCTTCCCATCTGAGGAATGGATTTATTTTCTTTTTAAAGAAATCCAAATTTTTAAAAGAAGGGATCTTATTTTTAAAACGAAGATCGATAATATCTACTATGTACTAAATGTCATTCTTTAAAAGTTGTTCCCTCATAATTTAGTAAATTACTTCCTTTTTTAAAAAAAGGAAAGAAAGAGTGTTTGTCTTACAGGCTAACATCACAAACAATAAGTTTCTTCTCATCCATCTCCATTTATAAACTAGTGTGACTGTCTTCTGAGCACAGTATTAAACCTGGACAGGGAGAGGGAGGGTGTTAGAGAATGAGAGGAAAAGAGAGAGAATACCTACATATAAGGTGACCCTAAAGAAAAGCCTTTCACCCTTCGGAAGATCTTTTCATTTTCATTTTTCTTTTTTTCAAACACCAACTTGTACCAGAGGGAAGATCTTTTTTTAAAAGTGTTTCACTAAAATTTGTAAGGAAATAATGAGCTAGATAAAATATTACAGTGTTTATTTAATGAATTTACTCATATTTAAAATAATATCTAAAAAGAGTAATTTAGGAATATTGAGGCAATGAGACTTGAAGGTTATAAATAGTGGCAGTGAGAAAAGGAATATTATAGATAAGCTGTTGAAAAGAAAAGATGCTAAGTTTTCTAGTGCTTCCTTCTGTTTCCAAGGGATTATAGAAATCGGAGTTTGTTTGACCTGTTTCACAGGCATCTCCTTTGTGGACTCATTGTGTCTCTTCCTTAGGCTAATAGTCACCATTTATCATGGACGGTTGTCATGAGTGTTGAAGCACACTTAACCTGCTTCGTCAGAGGGTACTTGGCATCACCGGTGCACAGCTGGTGTCCTAGCAGGAGACTAACTAGCTGACACACCGTGCTTTGTTAGCCTAATAATCTTATTTGTTAAAACTTGCCATTTGTTGGATTTTTCTATTTTACCCCATTATAAACTTCTTATTGAGATCAGATGACTTCTGAATAGCATTTGCTGTATTTTTCCAAGGTAAAGAATATCTTTTTCAGATTTTTCTTTCTTTCTTTAATTTCAGAAATAGAAGAAATCTTTTCTACCGACCTTGTGCCAGGAGATGTCATGGTCATTCCATTAAATGGGACAATAATGCCTTGTGATGCTGTGCTTATTAATGGTACCTGCATTGTAAACGAAAGCATGTTAACAGGTAAGCTAAATGAGTAAATATCAACATGAGTTGTTCATGATATATCATGACTAAGTTAGTGAGTAAGCCTTTTCAAAATTAGCTATGTCATTTGTACCTTTACTCATGAATATGTTGGATATTGGAGATTTAAAATTCTGAGTAGACCGAATTCTGCATTATACTCAGCTGTAATACTAGATACTGTGCTATAGTGTTGGTCACATCTCTTGACCTCACTCTGGCTACTCTTTGGACCTTAGGAAATGGTTTAAGGTTAGGGAAGTGGAAAGGCGGCCTTTTCCCACAGAAAATGTGGCATACAGTATTTGGTTCCCCATTTGATGTGTAAAAAGTGGGAATAAAGAAAGATTTTATATTTTTCTTGAACTGAGGAGATACAGGCTTTAAAATGACTTCCCTTTGGAAATTCACAATCTTGAGGTAGAGCTTGATTTTTTTTTTGTTTTTTTTTTGTTTGTTTGTTTTGAGACAGAGCCTTGTTCTGTCACCCAGGATGGAGAGCAGTGGTGCGATCTTGGCTCACTGCAGCCTCCGCTCCCAGGTTCAAGCAGCTCTTATGCCTCAGCCTCCCGAGTAGCTGGGACTACAGGTGTGTGCCACCATGCATGGCTAATTTTTGCATTCTTAGTAGAGACGGCTTCACCACGTTGGCCAGGCTGGTCGTGAACTCCTGTCCTCAGGTGATCCATCCACCTTGGCCTCCCAAAGTGTTGGAATTACAGGCGTGAGCCACTGTGCCTGTCCAATATCTTATTTTAATCGTGTGAATTTTTTTTTTAATTGTCCTAGTTGATCTGGCTAGAAAATGATTTATATGTAATACATTTTGAAACTGTTAAGAGTCGTGTCTTAAAACACACAAACACATATCTCGTATCTTAAAACACACAAACAAATACATATCTGACACACATGCCTTCTTTGAAGCAAGAAATGTGAATGCTGCAGAGAATTAATTTTAAAAAGAATTTGGCTGTTTGTGGTTGTTTGAGAGAACCACCACATTACTCATTTTCACATCTCTTTTTTGCCCAGCTGTCTTTTCTGTTCTGTGTGTGTGTGTGTGTGTGTGTGTGTGTGTGTGTGTGTGTGTGTGTAGGGGTGGATCGGGGTAGGCCCTCACATCTCTTCTGTACAGTGCTTTCCACTGTTACCATTAGTTCTTAGAGGTGCAGGGACTATAGCAACTACTTAATCTTTTTTGAAATTATTTGAAACTGAACAATGCAACTGTTTCTAAATATAAACAAATATTACCTTTGAGCCACAAATCACTTTCTGGAATTATTGTGGGAGATAATATTTGATACTTCTATGTGAGGAAATTGGTAGACAAAAAATTAAGCCATGTTGTCCACATATACAACTCTCAGTGATTATTGTAAACAGTATGGTAGCATTTAAAATATTTAACAATTTAATATTTTTTGGTGTTCGATACTGATTCCTGTGCTTTCGTTTAATAATTTGTAAACTGTTTTTGTTGTTGTTGTTGTTTTTTAAAGGAGAAAGTGTTCCAGTGACAAAGACTAATTTGCCAAATCCTTCAGTGGATGTGAAAGGAATAGGAGATGAATTATATAATCCAGAAACACATAAACGACATACTTTGTTTTGTGGGACAACTGTTATTCAGACTCGTTTCTACACTGGAGAACTCGTCAAAGCCATAGTTGTTAGAACAGGTAGGAAACATCTTAATTAATCTCTTTTTGCATGTTTCAGCATATTTGATACCTACTAAATGTTTAAAAAGAGATTCTGGGCTGGGTGCTGTGGCTAACGCCTGTAATCCCAGCACTTTGGGAAGCCGAGGTGGGCGGATCATGAGGTCAGGAGATTGAGACCATCCTGGCTAACATGGTGAAACCCCGTCTCTACCAAAATTACAAAAAAATTAGCCGGGCCTGGTGGCGGGCGCCTGCAGTCCCAGCTACTCGGGAGGCTGAGGCAGGAGAATGGCGTGAACCCAGGAGGCGGAGCTTGCAGTGAGTCGAGATCACACCACTGTACTCCAGCCTGGGTGACAGAGCGAGACTCTGTCTCAAAAA
Source organism: Homo sapiens (assembly GCF_000001405.40). Classification (NCBI taxonomy): domain Eukaryota; kingdom Metazoa; phylum Chordata; class Mammalia; order Primates; family Hominidae; genus Homo; species Homo sapiens. The sequence goes on along the minus strand of NC_000003.12, from coordinate 194,448,090 downwards.
AAAAAAAAGAGAGATTCTGTTTTGGGAGATAATTCTCATTTTCTTATAAAAATATCAATAATTGTCTTCTTTTTTTGAAAGGATTTAGTACTTCCAAAGGACAGCTTGTTCGTTCCATATTGTATCCCAAACCAACTGATTTTAAACTCTACAGAGATGCCTACTTGTTTCTACTATGTCTTGTGGCAGTTGCTGGCATTGGGTTTATCTACACTATTATTAATAGCATTTTAAATGAGGTATGTATGTGGGACTCTTAATAGGGTTTGAACCTCAATTATTTATCATATGCAGCTATTGAGGATTTGAAATGTGGCTACTGAGAATGAGGAACTAAAATTTTAAGCTAATTTAATTTTAATTAATTTAATGCTAACAAAGTCATGAGACTAGTAGCTATGATATTAGAAAGCCCAGCTATAGAACATTTCCATTGTAAAGGATACTTCTTTTGGGTGCCTCTGGTTTAGATGGTCTTTTACTTGGTCTTGTGACTTTAAAAAAAAAAAACAGGAAAAAAAACCCCCCCACATAATCACCAAAAGCTTTATTTTCTCTTTTTTACCTCTGAGATGTAATATACAGTGTTAAAATGATTTGTGGTTAGTTAATTGAAGGCGCCGCTTGTCAGAAGTGGAGAGTGGTACAGTAAGGTGTGTGCACGCTGAGTCAATATCTGATAATGATTGTTGACCGGCTTTGAAGTGTGTCATGTGTGAAGTATGTAGCGCCTTGAAAATGAGATAAGTTTCTTTTGAAAGTAGCTGTCATTCTATAATCCATTGAGCTTTTTTATTTTGCAGAAATATCTGAAGAAAAAAATTATATATGGTTAATAGATATGTATATACACACACATACATAAAATTGAAATATACAATTGAAAATGGCTTACAGATTTTCACTAAAGAAATACCCATATTAAATCCGTAAATAATACTGGGGATTTGACATTTATTTTTGTGTTAATTGTAGGTACAAGTTGGGGTCATAATTATCGAGTCTCTTGATATTATCACAATTACTGTGCCCCCTGCACTTCCTGCTGCAATGACTGCTGGTATTGTGTATGCTCAGAGAAGACTGAAAAAAATCGGTATTTTCTGTATCAGTCCTCAAAGAATAAATATTTGTGGACAGCTCAATCTTGTTTGCTTTGACAAGGTGGGTTCAGTTTCATAGTTACTTTCAAAGGTTACTTCGTAGCGTTTAAATATTTAGATCAATGTTTTTTATTTTCTTTGTCAACAAATTTGGACACATTCTGTCATGTTCCTCTAATTTTCCTTTTCCTCCACTTATTTGGTATATGCATCATTTTTCTATACCATAAGTTCTCACTTAACATTACTGATAGGTTCTTGAAAACTGCAACTTTAAATGAAATGAAACCAGTTTTACCATAGGCTAATTGATACAAATGAGATTTAAGTTCCTATGCCATATTTTGGTCACAAAAAATCACCAAACTTCTAAATAAAGATCTAAAACACTTCTGATATTAATCATTGAAATAAATATGAGCTATACATTCATTTAAGAAAGAAATAAAAACAAGTAAGGTAATTATTTACCCAGTTGTTTTATTTCAGGCTCCTGGGTAGTGGGAGCGTATCTCAGCAACTGGCGGAACGAGGCAGGAACCAGCCCTAGACAGGATGCCATCGTATCGCAGGGTGTACTCACACTCGCGCAGACTGGGACCATTTAAATGTGCTGGTTCACTTAACTTGCGTAGCTTTGATGTGGGAGGAAACTGAAGTACCTGGAGTGAAACCCATGCAGACAGGGAGAGAACATGCAAACTCCATGTAGATAGTGGTCGCGGCTGGGCCTCAGCTCTCCCCACCACTGGCACCCATCGTGTTATAAAAAAAGACGGACAAAACAATCGTATTTGAGGACATGCTATATTTCTTATTTTCTCAATTTTTAATACTTTGGATATTGCTTATTTGCTCAAAGCTTCAGTTAACTCCAGAATTAGGCCTAGTAGTATTAATAGTAGTAGCAGTAAAGATTACGTGACCTTTAATTTTTTAGACAGTAATTCTTATTTAACACAATAGGCTCCATACATATATATTTATTATGATTTTATTGCTTGTAAGTGTGTATGTTTAGTGTTTGCTGTATGATTTTATTGAATATGTTTAAGAATTATGAAGGTCACTGATTTTATGTGAAAATGACAAATTATGTACCTGTGTGAAGTATATCTTGCCTCTTAGAAAGGTTTCTCCTTTCCTGAGCTGGAATTTTCTTTAAAGTTTTCTGAGAATTAAACTTTGACCAGAAAACCTTCTATCAAACTTTTCTGGGTAACTGATGTGATACAAATTTGATTTTTGTGCATTTCATTATTACAGAAAAAAATGGGAAACATGTTCTGTTAGAAAAAAATATGTCACATACTGCTACAATTATTTCATATTTATCAGTTCAAAAAATTTCACTTATGCTTGTCTTTTTTGGAAACTTTCCTAAAAGTTTTAAGACAAAAGTGGAGAAAAGATGTGTGTATAATAAACACTCATTTACTCATTACCCAGCTTTATCAGTTATCAACACATTGTCAGTCTTATTTTATCTATCTGCTCATTTTGAAGGGGACAGCATCAGACATTATTTCACTCATAACTACCTTAGTATGTGTCTAGAGGATATTTAAAATATCACTATCACATTTAACAGAATTAGCAATTCTTTAGTTTTTCTAATATCCAGTTGAGATTTCCTCATATCTCTAATTTTTACTAGTTGATTTTTCAGTCAGAATCCAAATAGGGATTACATTGCTTACAATTAACATGTAACAATTGCCTTTACTTACCCCTTATCTCCAGTTATTTTGTTGAAGAAACCAGGTCATTTACCTTGTGGATTTGGCCAGTTGCTTCCTCCTGATGTACTTTAACCTGTTCCTCTTGGCCCTCCTTATACAGTAATCCTTCCTTTTTTGCTTTATAGGCATCCTTTATTGATTGATAAGATAGGTTAACTGGTGCATCCTTCCATTGATTTTTTTTTTGATAGTATAAGCACGTAAATATATACCCCTCTCTGCCCTTACGCAGAAGATTTGTGATCATTGTTTGCACCCCCTCTCCCACTTTAACCATATGTCCTGGAAGCCATTCTCTGTCAGGGATCTTGCCTGTTTCTTTTTTTAACTCTGTAGAACTCCATTATGTTATATGTAGCATAGTTTCTAATGCTGTGTGGTTGCTTTTTATTTTTATTTTTGGGTTTTTTTTTGAGGCATCATCCATACTTTGTGCATGTGTGCTTTTTTGTTTTTTAGACTGGAACTCTAACTGAAGATGGTTTAGATCTTTGGGGGATTCAACGAGTGGAAAATGCACGGTAAATATTAGTTAGACTTGATAGTTTATTAGTTTATTTTTAATATTTTAACATGTGCAACATTCAAACATAAAGGAAGTAATAGACAACTGTGTACCTATACCAGGATTAAACCGTGGACATGTTGCCATATTTGCTTCAGATCGCTTCCTTTAGAATATTAAAATATTATAGAAGTTGCCAAAGTCCCACTGTATCCCTTCCCCAATTCCTACTGCCATTCTGAAATTATTTTTGCATATTTTATATTTTTTCTAAGTATAAATCTATAAATAAGTATCCATGAATGATATACTGTACATATGTTTTGCTGCTTTTTTCCCCTCTCCAAACTTTGTTTTCAAGATTTATCCATGTTGATATGTGCAGATCTAGTTTATTAATTTTAACTGCTCTGTCTTATTCCATTGAATGATTAAACCTTGTCTGTTCTTCTACTAAGGGACAATTCTGTTTTTTCTTCTTTTTTCTCTGCACTGTTGCAAATAGTGCTGGAATTAAAGTTCTTACACATAAGTCCTTGTAGGCATGTGGCTGAGTTTCAGTAAGCTAGATCCCTGTAAATGGAAAGGCTGGGCCGTAGCATGGGCACGGCTTCAGCTTTATGCTTTCTCTCTCAGTGGGTAAAGATCTTTTTACTCCACATTCTTGCCAAACTTAATATTGTCAGACTTGTAATTTTTGCCAGATGGATGGATATGAGTATTACATTGTGGTTTTTACATTCTTCTCATTTCTTATAAAATTGAGCATCTTTTCACATTTTGGAGGGAGGGTCATTTAGCATTCTTCTGTGTATTGTGTGTTTATATCCTCATTTTTCTGTTGGGAAGTCTATCTTATTTGTTAGAGGTCTTTTTTATTTTCTGGATAGGAATCTTTTTCAATATTGTGTATTGAAAATTATCCTATTAGTCTCTGGCTCATCTCTTTACTTTTGTTTCTGTTGCTTTTTGAAGCTCAGAAGTTTTACTCCTGTAGTTTTGTTTGTGTCTTCCCCCCTCCCCCTGTCAAAAGTCTGCTAAATTTTGGTGTATATAGCTTGAGAGACAGTATTGTTTGGCCAATGTAATTTCAAGAGTTGTTGTGTCTTGGAAAATAGTATGTCACGTTGTGACCTTTCTTATCTCTAGTAATGCATGTTGCCTTAAATTCTGTTTTGTCTTATAATTATATAGCTCTATACCAGCTTTCTTTTGCCTGATGTTTGCCTAGTGTGTGTTTTGCCACTTGTTTACTTTTCAGTCTTTCTGTGCCATGATGTGCACATTTATTCAGATATATTAGAAATTATTTCTACCATTGCTCCCCCAATTTACATACACATTTTCACATTCTCATTTTTTCTCTCATTTTCTCACTTTATGCATCCCAATCTTATACTGCTTGTTCTTACATTATCAATATTTATACTTAAAGTTCATGGATGTTAATACTGCCTTTTAACCACTCCCCTGCCCCCCAAAACAAACCTATGGACTGTAAGATACTTTTGGTTATTCTCCTCCCTTCCTATATGTATTTGTTGCATAATATTTTCTGATTATTATTTTGGTCTTATACAGTCTGCATGCTTAGATTTACCTAGGTGTACTAATGCCTTAACCATTGCATCTTGTGTAAATTGCCATCTTCTGTAACTACATTCATTTGCTTTGTTTCACTGTCACTCTTTTTTTTTTTTTTAAGTGAAAGCAAATTTAAGAAAGTAAAGGAATAAAGAATGGTTCCTTCATAGGCAGAGCAGCCCACTGTCACTTGGGTGGTAGTGTAACTATACAGATTTCTAGGTTTGACATTTGTGTTCTCTCAATACTATGAAGCTGTTATTTCATTTCTCTTAATACCTTTTGTTAATTGGTACTGATAAATCTTAGTCTTTTTAGTAATCTTTTTTTTCTCTGGTTGCTTGAAGAATATTTCTTCACCCTTAATTTCTGCAGATTCACTGTGATCTTTTTATTTGTGTGTACAGGATTCATGATGCTTCTTGATTTCATGCTTTCATGTTTTTCATAAATTCTGGAAAATTTTCAGGCCTTTTTTACTTCCATTATGGCCTTTTCCTTGTGTTTTGTTTTCTCTCCTTCTGGGAATCCTAACCATGTGTTGGACAACACATGGTTTACTTGGTTCTTTCCAAGTCTGCTCCCACCCCTACTCTCGCATCTACAGTGTCTTACTCTTTGTATGTCTAATTTTAAAATGCCCTTTTTGCATTCTTTCAGATTTGCCATTCTGTTATCTTAAATTTACGGGATTCTTTATTTTTTTATTTTAAACATAGGAATTGGTATGGGTGTCTCGCTATATTTCCCAGGCTGGTTTTGAACTCCTGGCCTCAAATGATCCTCCTGCCTCAGCCTCCCAAAATGCCGGGATGACAGGCATCAGCCACTGCCCCTGGCCAAATTTATAGGATTCTAATTCTGTCTTTGTTATGTCTGTTGACACTCTTGGTGAATTGTTTGCTAGCGCATCTTTAAATTATGGACTCATTCTTAACAGAATTTTCTTTGAGCTCCCCTCTGGAGAAGTTCTGACTTTGCTTGGCTAAGAGCCCCAGTGGTAATCAACGGTGTCATACAGGCTTTAACTGACCTCCTGTGTTTCAATCCTTGCTCTGCTACTTATGGACGGTGTAACCTGGGACAAGTCACTTAACCACCCTGCTTCAGTTTTCTCATCTATAATGGGGGTAATAAAACACCTTTTCTATGGTGTGAGGATAATGGGCCAATAAATTTAAAGTTCTTAGAATAATGCCTGGTGCATAGTAAATATTATGCAGATATTAGCTATTTTCTTGGACTTTGGGTGAGGAAAAAGACAAGCTTATTCATAATTAATGCCTTTAGGTCTGTGGGTGAATTTTTTCTCATCTGCCCTTTTCCCAAGGGCGTGTAGCTCTTCAAGAGTACTGGCTTTCCTGAGTCAGAGGGATCCTTTCAGTACCAGCTACCCACTTTGCATGGGGCCAGACTTTGTTTCCTGTCCTTTTGTGGGTATTAAATCCCAAGTTCTTAGTTTACTGAGATGGCCCCCTCCCTTCATCCCCCCAGCAGCCATAGCATCAGCTCAAGTTCACACCCCTCTGGTTTTCTTTTCCCTGTATTTCTGACACTTGACAGTTTCTCTTTCTTAGGAGCTCAGATTGGGATTTAAAAGATTTTTTTTTTAATTACAAAACCAGAAAAGCCCTGTTAGAATATTATCTTGAATCTTAGAATTTATGAAACTAATTCAGTGTGTCTTCTGCTTAGATTTCTTTCACCAGAAGAAAATGTGTGCAATGAGATGTTGGTAAAATCCCAGTTTGTTGCTTGTATGGCTACTTGTCATTCACTTACAAAAATTGAAGGAGTGCTCTCTGGTGATCCACTTGATCTGAAAATGTTTGAGGCTATTGGATGGGTAAGTCAAATATTTTAAAATACAAATAACTTTAGGAAAATAATAGTTAAAAATTAAATTACCTCATACAAGGATTATTTCTGCTTTTTGTTTTAATGACAGTCTATCTTGTACCCTAAAAGGAGCTATGTAATTTCTAAAGCTACATCAACTGGAGAAATATTTTAAAAATCATGCAAAAGTAACTTTTAGTTAACCCATTTAGTACACCTTTAATAGAGGCTGACCAGCTCAGGCCCCTGCTTTGTGTTTAAGGTAAACCAGGGGTCAGCAACTTGGGGAGGGTAGAGCAGAGCCAGTAAGATGATCTCAACTGACACAATTTCTTGGCCACAGGCAAAGGTGTATAAAGTCGTTTGTCTTCATTGCTCTTTTTTACCTGTCTTTTGTTTACTGTGTCCACATACATGCACATGTTTTTGTTTGTTTATAACTTCCTTCTATTTTTGCCATTGGGACTTTTAATTTCTAAGTGCCTGCTTACGTTCTCTGGTTGTTATCATTTTACAGCATTCAGTTCTTCTTTTATAAATACAAAGTCAGTTCATTTTAGAGTTCCCTTCTGGCTTCTGAATTATTTATTTTCTTTGAGGTTATGGTCTCCTCTGGCCCCCACCCCATGGCTGGTGTCTCTCCTTCATGCTCTTGGTTTTCATTGTACATCTGGATGGCACTTTTTTACTCTAAAAATGAAGATCTGATTTGGTAATTCTGCATAGCTGCAGTGAGCTACTTCAAATTTTACCCTTGCCCATATGTATGTTAGTGTTTCTGATCGTGAAGGCTTGTTGGGGGATGGGGGATGGTGCTTGCTCTGTGTCTGGTGGGGTCTTATCGACAGGGGTTCTTAAAGTTTCAAAGGAATAGTTTCAGAGTTAGCCTCTCCGTTGCTTTCCTCACCCATTCTCACCATGCTTGCACATGTGGAGCTCTGTACTCTGGAATCCTCACCCTCATGTCAGCAGCCTTTGCTCTGTCAGACATTCAGTTTATGTCTCTGGAGGAGGACTCCCTGGTTTTTTGTTTGGCTTTCTTTAGCTCAGCTACTCTGGCTGATAAGTGTTCCTGCCTCACCTGGTATCTTGTGTTTGTTCTGGGCTACTGTTTCGTTCCCGTTTGTATCCATCCATAGGTTTCAGTTTGCCCTTTGTTTCCATATTTGAAATCCCTTCCTTCAGGTTTGTTTTCTGTTTACATTTACAGGATCCTCCCTTCCCTCTTCCCTGCCTCCCCACCTCCCTCCCTCCCTACCCACATTTTGAAAGGGAGAGAGGGAGGAGGTGACTGGATAAGTGCTCCATCTGCCAACTACTGAAAGTCCATGGTAAACACTCTTGAAGTTTAATTCTGAAAAGGAGGCCTCACTTCATTTATAGAGAGAATAACAAAAATGGGCTGATTTATCGTTCTTCTCTAAGCTTTTCTCCAACTGAATAGATTTTCAGTAGATTTAGTGTTCAGTGTTGGTGTATCTTCAAAGAAATTAAGAAAATGTGTATAATGGCATATTTCATTGGCCCTGAGTTGCTTTGATGCTTGATCCCACCAGAGCTTACTTATCCGTGAAATGGTTTCACATAGCCAGTCACAACTGTGACTTGATGTGATTGGTGTCATATGATACAAGATGCAGATGTCATATGATACAAGATGCATCCCAGTTTTAGAGATGTTAAGATACGAAAAAAGGTGTCTTAGAATTGTACAAAATTGGCTAATTTTTCACAGTTCCCTATTGTTTTCTCATTTATTGATCCCACTAATTATAGTGTGTGTTTAATATACGTTTTTCTTCGAATGTTTTTCACCAAAAAAGGTTCTTTAAAGTATTAGCTTAACTGGAAGTATTCAAGCTGAGAAACTCTAAACTCATATCTTTGTGCTTTAGCCTGTTCTTGACCCAGCGGTTCTGCTAACCATATCTGAGCTCTATGTACTTTTGAATCCTTTCTTGGTAGCAGAAAGGAATCACTGGATGAGCCTGAAAATTCTGGGGACTACAAGAACCTTTTATCTTTTGCAGAGCTAGTCTCTAAACCCAACAAGTTGTAAGAGTGAAGTGAGATCAGTTTCTATTTCTTTATTCTGCTTCTAACCCTGAATGAAGCAACCCTTCTCCCATGGGTTGCTAGGTATCTAACTCACCATCTTTGTTCATATTTTCTTTTACTTATGTTAGTGATCCAGTAGTGCTCATTTGTTCCTTGGACATACATTTTTTTTAATTATTGAAAATGGCCATAATGTTCTATTTAAAAATGGAACCATGAATTCAGTTTTATGAAGCAGTGCTTGAATGTTGTGTTTTTGTTTTTTTTTGTCTCTTTTTTTTTTCCAGATTCTGGAAGAAGCAACTGAAGAAGAAACAGCACTTCATAATCGAATTATGCCCACAGTGGTTCGTCCTCCCAAACAACTGCTTCCTGAATCTACCCCTGCAGGAAACCAAGAAATGGTGAGAAATCACTTAAAGCTAGATAAAACTGTTGGTGGTTACTTATATTTATTTTTAATTTTTTTCAATTTTTATTTTTTATAGAGACAAGGTCTTGCTATGTTGCCCAGGCTGGTCTCAAACTCCTGGGCTCAAATGATCCCCCTCAACCTTGGCCTCCCCAAGTGCTGGGATTACAGGTGTGAGCCACCACCCCCAGCCTGCTTACTTACATTTAATTCTCATTTTGAAATGTTGCTAGAAGAGGAAGTCACAAGTCCTTTATTTAACTCTTATGCAGAGATAGGAATATTTTAACTGCGTTTATCAGAAACTACACCTCTGTGTTGAGATATAATTCTCAGTACTATCACTTTTCTTTCCTGTTTACTGAGCAGCTTAGTGCCTTGTGATTTATACAGCTGGTGGTTAATCCTCTTAAATTGCATCTGTATTCCTAGAATTTAATAAAAAGTATGTATGAAAGGCTTTACTTTTAGGTGAATTTTTAAATATATTCCCCTTAGTTTATTATTACTATTTTTTAAGTTACCTGAAATTTTTTTTACATGTATAAGTATTACATATCCAAGAAATTTACCAAGATTCTAATAAACACCACTTTATCTTATTTGTATAACTGGTTGGCAAGATTCTGGGTAATTCATTTTCCTTCCTGTTTATATTTGTTCTTTCCAGAGTTTATTATTATTTTTTGAGCTGGAGTCTCGCTCTGTCACCCCGGCTGGAGTGCAGTAGTGAGATCTCAGCTCACTGCAACCTCTGCCTCCTGCGTTCAAGTGATTCTCCTGCCTCAGCCTCCTGAGGAGCTGGTATTACAGGCGCACGCCACCACACCCGGCTAATTTTTGTATTTTTAGTAGAGATGGGGTTTCACCATGTTGATAAGTCTGGTCTCGATCTCCTGCCCTCAAGTGATCCACCTGCCTTGGCCTCCCAAAGTGCTGGGATTACAGGGGTGAGCCACTGCGCCCAGCCAGCCTATTATTTTTTAATTTTTATTTTGTGTTTTTTGGTATGTACACTTGCTTGCACCCCTTAGTTTATTTTAGTACTTAAAATGTTAATATTTTCAGGATAGCAGAACATTTGAAAATATTTAAGAACATACTTTTTAAAAATGGGAAGTAGTATAGAAGGAATCTTGAATCCTGACTTTGAAAAACAGTTGCTTGTTTCTTTTCCAAATAATGTTTTGTGGATGCTTAGTAAACTTTTTCTAACTTTAGTGTGTTAATAGAGTTAATCTGTACTATTTTTTCTTGTTTTGTTTCGTTTTTAGGAGCTGTTTGAACTTCCAGTAAGTGAAGAATGTTTACTTCTTACTAAGTATATTTGTTTTGATTCTTTAAGAATATTAAGTGCTTTGTGCCTCTTTTGAAATGATATAGGCTACTTATGAGATAGGAATTGTTCGCCAGTTCCCATTTTCTTCTGCTTTGCAACGTATGAGTGTGGTTGCCAGGGTGCTGGGGGATAGGAAAATGGACGCCTACATGAAAGGAGCGCCCGAGGCCATTGCCGGTCTCTGTAAACCTGAAACAGGTAAGGAAATATCTATGCTTTGGGTACAATTCTGGTATTTGAGTAAACTTGTATTAGCAACTCTAACAATGAAATTTACTCTTTCTTTTAAAAAGTTCCTGTCGATTTTCAAAACGTTTTGGAAGACTTCACTAAACAGGGCTTCCGTGTGATTGCTCTTGCACACAGAAAATTGGAGTCAAAACTGACATGGCATAAAGTACAGAATATTAGCAGGTGAGGTTGAACGGCTTTCCTAGTTTCCCAGTCATCATCATTTATGGTTATATTAGTCATGCACAGTAATTTGCATGTAATTGAGTATTTATTGAATGTATGAAAAGATATCTAATATAATATTGTTTTAGGTGATTGAAGTAAAAGTACATTTTCCCCACTGCCTGATTTCCTTTCATTCTGGGTTTTTTTTTGAGAGACAGTCTCACCCCGTACCTAGGCTAGAGTGCAGTGGCACTGCCGTCTCGGGTCACTGCAACCTCCGCCTCCCCGGTTCAAGCGCAGTGGCGCAAGTCTCGGGTCACTGCAACCTCCACCTCCCCGGTTCAAGCAATTCTTGTGCCTCATCCTCCCAAGTAGCTGGGATTATAGGCGGGTGCCGCCATACCTGACTAATTTTTATATTTTTAGTAGGGGTTTTTGCCATGTTGGCCAGGCTGGCCTCGAGCTCCTGGCCTTAAGTGATCATTCTGTGTTGACTGTTTACCTATGTTTCCTTATGTTATTGTAACATCATGTTTTTTCCTTAGAGCTCTTTGAAACTGTTTTCAATTTGTTAATTATTATGTGCCCACTATGTGTCAGGCACATTCCAAGAACAGTAAATGTAATTTTTTAGAAGTTTATTTTCACCAATTGATCTTCTCACTTTTGCCCAGTGGTTGGATATAACTACTAATTTGATCAGAATATAATGAGTCATAGTAACCAAGCTCCTCCCACTCCACTTCTTTCCTAATCCCCAGTACTCTCCATGTCCCCCCGTCAAATGACAGTGTCATATTCAAGGATTGTCACTTTGACTGTAACTGATACAGACCTACCTTGGAGGATAGCATTTTTGTTTAGGAATATTTCATGATGTACCTAGCATTTTGTAAGCAGAAAGGAGTGTCACTTGGCTGTCCTGCTAATTCTGCCTATTTGGGGGAGGTGGTGAGGTCTAAGCATGAGTTTAAAAAAAAAAAATGAAAAACCTCTACCCAAATTATGTGATACATATGCATGTCGGGAACCACAAATGGGTATAATATTATATCCTAATTCCTACTAAGGACACATTAGTCTCTTCTTAATTTATAGCTTCACACTAGCAAGGGTGCTAGGGGATAAGACAGTGGATGCCTTTGCCATTTTCCCCCATAAACACTAATTACTGAATTGCCTACAGTTCTTTTTTTTTCTTTTGAGACGGAGTCTCGCTCTGTTGCCCAGGCTGGAGTGCAGTGGCACGATGTCAGTTCACCATAGCCCCCGCCTCCCGGGTTCAAGCGATTCTCCTTCCTCAGCCTCCTGAGTAGCTGGAACTACAGGTGCACACCACCATGCCTGGCTAATTTTTGTATTTTAGGTAGAGACAGGGTTTCACTATGTTGGCCAGGCTGGTCTCGAACTCCTGACCTTGTGATCTGCCCGCCTTGGCCTCCCAAAGTACTGGGATTACAGGCGTGAGCCACTGCACCCGGCTGCCTATAGTTGTTAGGTGTGTCATCTTGAGACATCCTTCCATGACATTGGATAGACTGTTCCTTGTGCTGAGGATACCCTGTCCCTCCTTGTTAACTTTCCTCTCTTTCTCTACTCCCTTTCTTCTTTACTCTTCCACCGAGACCTCTGTGTTTCCATTTGACCTTGTAGAAACAGGTTTTAGCATTTCCCTTATAGCTTAAGCCTTTATATCTTGAATATTGGACTATTCACTAACTAGAGGGTAAGATTTCCTTGACCTGTATCGTTCATACGGTGTGAGAGAGTTAGGAGACGAGCTGAAGCCAGAAACTGGGGCCTGAAGGAAAGCGGCTTAGTGCTTTTGACACATTGTCTTCACATTGATACAGCTTTGGGCTTTGAAATACAATTTCAGGTTTCAAGGCTTTTTCCTGCTGTTAAAACCAGCAGTTTCATTTATATTAATTTTCTCAACTATTCTCTAATATCCTTACCACCCATTGTTAGAAATTAGGTGTTTCAAAGATTTTAGATTTCATAGATACATACTTCAAGCAACTTTTATTGGAATTTTGTCAGAAAAATCATTTGGTTATTCCAAGTCTGAAATTCTAGTCTCTGACCTCAGACCCTCCTCCTTCCCCATTGAGAAAAAAATTTCTATGATATAATTCAGGTAGGTTGAGGTGTTTTTTGTTTGTTTTCTTTTTTTGTTTGTTTCTTTTGAGATAGGATCTCTCTTTGTTGCTTAGGCTAGAGTGCAGTGGAACAAACACTTCTCACTGCAGACTTGACCACCTGGGCCTTAAATGATCCTCACTCCTCAAGCCTTCCAAGTAGTGGGACTGCAGGCACATGTCATCATGCCCAGCTAATTGTTTTTTCATTTTTTGTAGAGACGGGGTCTCACTATGCTGCCCAGGCTGGCCTCAAACTCCTAGGTTCAAGCAATCCTCCTATTTCAGCCTCCCAAAGTGGTGGGATTACAGGCATGAGCTACAATGCCTGACCTGAGATTTCTTAAGAACGTAACTATCACTGAACAGACTTCATCTCTTTTATAGTGCTAAAGCACGTACTATTTTTGTGTGCATCTCTTTGGTTGCATGTCTGTTTCCCCACCCAAGTGTCTTGAGAGCAGAGATCATCCCTTTTTGTCTTTAACCTCCCAGTGACTAGCATAGTGCCTGCTGCATTCTTGATACTCAGTTATTTAAAGAATAGCATCTTGATAACTATATTAGTAATATTTTCAAAGACCCATCTCTGGGTCCCAAGTAGATCTCATTGTTGGATTGCTAATGGTTCTTGTGTCACATTTTCAGGATCAGTAATTGTTTTATAGAATTGATCTGAGACTTGATAATGAATCCACGAAAACTGTATTGAATGTGCTTGTGGCACAGTTTTTTCTTTTTCACTTAACATTTAAATTAGGATATGTTGTAGAGGGCAGTAAAGAATAGATTTATGCTTATTTTTGGATACTACACAAAATGAATATTCCTTAGTATTAGAATTGTTTAGTGTACAGTGACATACATTTCCAAATGATTATTATATTGAGATACTGAACTCTTGAACACACACGTGGTTTATTCAGCATATAAAATGTTTTCATTTATAGATATTTTAAACTGCATTATAACTTATAGACATTTTTAATTGTTTAGATATTTCAAGTTTGTGTACATAAGTTGCTTACTCAATTGACTAAACCATTATGTGTTAAAACTTCTTTTTCTGCAGAGATGCAATTGAGAACAACATGGATTTTATGGGATTAATTATAATGCAGAACAAATTAAAGCAAGAAACCCCTGCAGTACTTGAAGATTTGCATAAAGCCAACATTCGCACCGTCATGGTCACAGGTTAGACTTTATAAAAGAACACAGAAGCAAATGGAGTGTGACAGAGCTGAAGTTATATTATATTGAGGGATAATCAGTTATAAAATCATATTATATAGTCTATAGTGGTTTCAACCTAAGTTCTCTTTTAGCTCTGAATATTTTCCCAAGCGCAAGATAACTTTGTCATATTCTTTTTGAGGTCTAGCGAATCCTATTTATAGAAAGTGTAGTAGAATAGTAAAAGTACGGCCGGGCGCGGTGGCTCACGCCTGTAATCCCAGCACTTTGGGAGGCCGAGGCGGGTGGATCATGAGGTCAGGAGATTGAGACCATCCTGGCTAACAAGGTGAAACCCCGTCTCTACTAAAAATACAAAAAATTAGCCGGGAGCGGTGGCGGGTGCCTGTAGTCCCAGCTACTCGGGAGGCTGAGGCAGGAGAATGGCGTGAACCCGGGAAGCGGAGCTTGCAGTGAGCCGAGATTGCGCCACTGCAGTCCGCAGTCCGGCCTGGGCGACAGAGCGAGACTCCGTCTCAAAAAAAAAAAAAAAAAAAAAAGAATAGTAAAAGTACACTGTAAAAATTTAAACTTGACTCCTTTTTGTTTTCTCTCTTTATTCGTATATTTCTTATAGCACTTATTGTACCTTGTGTTATTTGTAGATTTGTTTTCTGTACTAGAATATAAGATTCTTGAGGGTTAGGAGTATATTTTACTCATGTTGGGGTCCTTTGCAACTTTTAGAACTGTCAGCTACATAGAAAATGATTAATAGATATTCGATAGCATGAAATGTTTATATGTAAGATATTGTTTATTACCCTAGCTTGAATTCTAGTGAAATAGCCTACTTTTTTTTTTCTAGTACATCTAAGGGATTCTCCTGATGTTACTATACTGTTGATAATATTAGATAACTCTTACTCATTAGCTGTGTGAAATTGTGGTAGCTCTGTTTTTTGTTTTTTTTTCTTAGCAGATAATCAGATTTAAGATACTTAATGGCACTTACGTGTTCAGTAAGACTAATATGGAGAAAGTCTGTATACATTTTTGTGTTTTAGACTCTTGAGATCTATCTAATAACATAATTTTACCGTATAACTCAAGGTAACTAAGTCTGTTAGCATTCCAGCCATTCTTAGTTCTTGCGTCTTCTTTGTCAAGACACTTTTCACCTGTTCCTCGTCCTCCTCTTTTATTTATTTATTTATTTTCCCCTTGCCAGAATATGGCTTTGTGTACCAAAGGTCATAGGAAGATATTCTTGGAAATAGTGTGTGGAAATTGAGGAAAGAAATATCTCGCTCTTCTGTTTTGGTAGCAGTGGGATCCACAAACCTTTGTCTGCTTCTCCTTAATAAGATCCTGTTCTTGCTGCTCTTCTTTCTTCTCATGACTGAGAAGTTGTCTCTCTTGTTTCTCGTTTACACCTGTTCTTATTACCTGTCTTACCTTTTTGTTTTGTATGATCTTGCTTTTGTAATTCATCATTTTCTATGATATGGTGCTGGTGTTCTTGCACAGACCACTAGTCACTTTGTAAAGTTATTTCGGTAAGTATTTATTGAGCCACCTGATCTGTGTGTAGCACCGTGCCAGGTATTGTGTAGATACAAATAGTGCATGACTGGAAAAGATTGAGAATTATATTTGGCTTTAAAAATTGTGGGTGAGATGTTTTCTTTAGCATATAACGTGCTTGCGTTATTTGAGGCTTCTTTTGATAAGTATGCTCCAATTTTGTTATTTTTAAACTGTAAGTGGAAGAACCATACATTATCGTTACTCTGCCAGCCCAGTCATGGAGACTGTAGTAGATTCTCAGCAAGTACATGTTTGATACGTTCACGTTTCCATTTTAATTTCAATACATTTAAAATATTTTGAAAATTAGGTGACAGTATGTTGACTGCTGTCTCTGTGGCCAGAGATTGTGGAATGATTCTACCTCAGGATAAAGTGATTATTGCTGAAGCATTACCTCCAAAGGATGGGAAAGTTGCCAAAATAAATTGGCATTATGCAGACTCCCTCACGCAGTGCAGTCATCCATCAGCAATTGACCCAGAGGTAAGGTCAAGATCGACTGTCCGTTTTAAAGTTTGTTGATTTAAATTTAGTCTGAAAAAATAAAAAAAGTGGTGCATTAAAACACAGTAAAGCAAAAACTAAATGAAAACAGAAGTCAGGGCTATTTTTTCAGAGATTATGTTTCATTAGGACTGGGACAGACCCAGGAATCTCAATGTTCAAATTTTGATATTTAGCTAAGATGAGAAGCATAGTTTTAAAGTACAAGAATTCCAGATGTTTATCGTATTCTTCAGGTAACTAGTGGTAAATGATGCAGGTGGTCCATCATACTCAGTTCATGCATCATTTCAAATTGAAGCTGATATTTAATTGAGTTTCTTTTTACTTTGAATAAATGTCCGGCTTTCATCATGTTGTGGAACATATCAAATGAAAGAATTCAGTTTTAGAACAAATATGTTTAAAATAGAATTGTTTTACTTGGTTTGGTTGCCTAAATATTGTTCCCAATGTCTCATATACACAGGCTATTCCGGTTAAATTGGTCCATGATAGCTTAGAGGATCTTCAAATGACTCGTTATCATTTTGCAATGAATGGAAAATCATTCTCAGTGATACTGGAGCATTTTCAAGACCTTGTTCCTAAGGTAAGTAATTTGGGTGTATGTGTGTGCTCACATGAATGCATCGCAACAGTATTTTAAAAAAATTTGTATTATTGTTTCCAGTTGATGTTGCATGGCACCGTGTTTGCCCGTATGGCACCTGATCAGAAGACACAGTTGATAGAAGCATTGCAAAATGTTGAGTAAGTATTGGTGTCTTTTTTGGTTTTGGTTTTTGATGAATGATGGTTTCATTTCAGCATCAGAAAAATAATTTTTATATGTTTCTTATACTAATATTTCATATTTATATATATAATTGTGATCTATAAGATAGTTCAGAACTTTAAGTGCCGCTTTAAAAGAGTCTCATGTGCTTTTTATTTAGCTAAAGTACAATATCCACAGTTTTTTCTCTATGACTTCATTCTTTCAGGTGCTCTATCTTGATAGAAGTGGCTAATCATTTTAGTAAACAGTTATGTTTCAGGTTATTAAGGGATAAATTTTTACTGATAACGTTAAAAGTAGCCATACTAAAGACTGTAGGCACAAGCGCTTTGCTCTAAAGATGAGGAAATTGAGACACCAAAATGATTTGCCGATAATGTGACAGAAATAGGACAATAACCTAGCTCATTTCACTTGTGGTCTGGTGCTGTTTGCAAAGCAGCACACCTGTGTTCATTATAGTGAAAAGATTCATAGTTCCACTGGGGGAATCTTGGTGTGTTAGCTCTTTATAATACTGTAATAGAAAAGTCTTAATAAGTTAAATGTTTTGTAGTTTAAGAAATTAATTAAAATCTTAACATTGTTTTGTTTCTTAGTTATTTTGTTGGGATGTGTGGTGATGGCGCAAATGATTGTGGTGTAAGTATAGTTTTTGTGATTTAGTTTTATAGTTCTTACTCTAGCCTAAATCATATTCACAAAACTTAACCAGTTTTCTTAAAATTATTAGGCTTTGAAGAGGGCACACGGAGGCATTTCCTTATCGGAGCTCGAAGCTTCAGTGGCATCTCCCTTTACCTCTAAGACTCCTAGTATTTCCTGTGTGCCAAACCTTATCAGGTAGTACAAATTAAAATTTTTCTCATCCCTTTTTCTCTGTCTCTGATAATACAGAAGAGAAAATTATCATAAAAAGTAACATGAATTTGTTTAATATTAGCAGATTAGCACATTTGAGCTGTAACTTATTAGTAACAGATTGATTGCTACTCCTCATTTGGTTTAGTTCTTTTGGTGGATAAGCACTTTGTTGTAGCCGTTGAATGTTGATGTTCATCTGTCAAGATAAAATTGTGGTTTGGAAAAGGAGTTTAAAATGCTTCTATTCATATGCCGACATTTGATTTCTTTTCACAGGGAAGGCCGTGCTGCTTTAATAACTTCCTTCTGTGTGTTTAAATTCATGGCATTGTACAGCATTATCCAGTACTTCAGTGTTACTCTGCTGTATTCTGTGAGTATTAACATTGTGTGCAGAGATAACACTTAATGTGCACCGTAAATTAAGATGTTGAGCGTATGTGTTTGATTTTGAATGCATCCATTAGTAATTGTTTCTGTGAGTAGTACCTATAAATTTACCTTCAATTTACTGTAGTTTGAATAGCAAATTGAAAAAGTTAAAATGAGAAAAGATGTTTCAACAGTGGTTTGTTGAATTTGGAGAATGGTTTGCATTTGGAGAAAAAGTATAAACAGCGATGGCCACAGGTACCCTATCAGATTTTATAATCAAAGTGTTCTGACATCCTAAAGACTCATGGTGACACTATCCCATTTGACCGTTTGTAGAAAGTATCAGAAGGGATGGTATTAGATGAAGATACTAATTTACAACGTTGAATATTTTGAGTAAATGTTTGTGTTTTCTTTTTGCCAAAAAAACCATGTTGGCCAGGGTGGTCTCGATCTCTTGACCTAGTGATCTGCCCGCCTCGGCCTCCCAAAGTGCTGGGATTACAGGTGTGAGTCACCGCGCCCAGCCTATTGAACGAATTTTAAGGAGATGCCTTTTATACTAATATACTAAATCAAATATTTATAAATATATGTTATATTTAGTTTCAGAGACACTTATATTTCAATTTTTAAGCAGGTCCGAGTGTCATTTTTAAGTTGTCATTATAGGGAAAATCCAAACTATTAATAAAACCTGGGGACGCTATAAAAATAATTCCCAAAAACTAATAATGTTTTTAAAATTACTTCTGTAGATCTTAAGTAACCTAGGAGACTTCCAGTTTCTCTTCATTGATCTGGCAATCATTTTGGTAGTGGTATTTACAAGTGAGTATTTTGCTTTGTTATTGATTTTTAAAGTGTATGAAATTCTGATGTGACTTATTAAATTTTTGTAAATTTACATCAACAATTGTAACATAGCTCACACCTCTCCAGATTCCTTGTAAATATGTTATTTTATTACCAGTTGTTTATATCTTGCGCCAATTTTTTAATTGTTCTGTCTCTATTTTTTTCCCTGAAATATTTGAAAATAAGTTTTGAGTCATTATGCTCTTTTGCCTCTGACAATTTTAGTATATATTTTCTAAAAGCAAAACCATTCTTTTATGTAACTAAATACAGTTGTAAAGATCAGGAAATTTAACATTGATATAATATCTGGTGCAAAACCTATATTCAGGTTTTGTCATTTGTGTCAACAATGTCCTTTATGCCTATTTTCCCGTAGTCCCCTAGATTAGAACAAAAAATATCTCCAGACATTGCCAGATGCTCCTTTGGGGTGCAAAATCCTCCAGTTGAGAACCACTTATCTTTAGTAGATGATAAAACTAGTGAAAGTTTGATGAGGAGCAGGATTTTCACAGTCTCAAAGTATCTTTTCACAAGGTGCTAGTTACAAAGGGAAAAATAGAAATTTCTTTTTTTCTTTTTTTTTTTTTTTTTGAGACAGAGTCTGTCTCTGTCACCCAGGCTGGAGTGCAGTGGCACGATCTCAGCTCACTGCAACCTCCGCCTCCCGAGTTCAAGCGATTCTCCTGCCTCAGCCTCCTGAGTAGCTGGGATTACAGGTGTGCACCATCATGCCCTGCTAATTTTTATATTTTTAGTAGAATCGGGGTTTCACCATGTTGGCCAGGCCAGTCTCTAACTCCTGACCTCAAGTGGTCCGCCCGCCTCGGCCTCCCAAATTGCTGGGATTACAGGCGTGAGCCAGTGTGCCCAGCTGAAAAATAGGAACTTTATAGTGGAAAACTTGTGTATACCACCTTAATAAGTAATGAAAGCCTTTTTGAAAAATGTTTCTGCTATGTTTATATTGCTTCAAACATTGTGAATATCGTAAGAGGAAGAAGTGTGTATTATTTTAACTGTAGTTTTGCAATTAAAGATTCAGAATATAATGGCCTCTTAAATATATGAGATGATTAACTTTATAGTTATTGTGTTTATATTTAGTTTTACTATTTTTTAATTTAAAATTATTTATTTATTTATTTATTTATTTATTTATTTATTTATTTATTTATTGTAGAGATGGGGTTTCACTATGTTGCCCATGCTGGTCTCAAACTTCTGGGCTCAAGTGATTCTCCCACTGTGGCCTCCCAAATTGCTGGGATTCCAAGTGTGAGCCACCGTGCCTGGCCTAGTTTTATTTGTTAATATTACTGCTGAATTTCAATAGAAATGTAAAAATTATTCCTGAGGCGTTTTTCAAAAAGCCTACACTGTTTACTTTTACAGATTATTTAAATATGTACGATATGTGGCTTGGTTTTTGAAGATTTTTTGTATTAAAGAATTGTTAGGCAAAAACAAATTTTTAAAGTTCCTAAATGAATCTAGTTATGCCTTATATAGTGATAGATTAATGTAAATACAAACCTTTCCTCTTTTTCTTTTCAATATAGTGAGTTTAAATCCTGCCTGGAAAGAACTTGTGGCACAAAGACCACCTTCGGGTCTTATATCTGGGGCCCTTCTCTTCTCCGTTTTGTCTCAGATTATCATCTGCATTGGATTTCAATCTTTGGGTTTTTTTTGGGTCAAACAGCAACCTTGGTATGAAGTGTGGCATCCAAAATCAGAGTAAGTTGGTCAATCTATGTAAAAATCTATATAAAATATGTGCAACATATATGATATAAAAATGAGTTTAGAAGTTAATATAAAAGTTTGTGCCAGGTGCGGTGGCTCACACCTGTAGTCCTAGTACTTTGGGGAGGCCGAGGCAGGTAGATCACTTGAGACCAGGAGTTTGATGACTTGAGACCAGGAGTTCGAGACCAGCCTGGTTAACATGGTGAATCCCCGTCTCTACTAAAAATACAAAAATTAGCCGGGCATGGTGGTGCCTTTCTGTAATCCCAGCAACTTGGGAGGCTTGAGGCAGGAGAATCACTTGAACCTGGGAGGCAGAGGTTGCAGTGAGCCAAGAGATTGTTTTTTGAGACAAAGTTTGCATGCAGGCTGCTTTAAACACTTACATAATTTGGCTTGTATTTGCCTGTATATCACGGTCACGCCTGTCTTTGGGAAGATGTTCAGGCAAAATCCTAATAATCCTACCAAAATGGGGATCTTAGATCAGTTTCTTAATTTGTTACTGAGCCTTACTTATCTGTAAAATAAGAAAGTTGGAATTAATCTCTGGGGCCTCTTCTAAACCCAGAGTGTTTTGTATTTCTAATCTTTCATCCCCCAGTTTAGGAAATGGCATTTTAAAACTTAAGGGGAAAAATAAATTAGGTGCATTTGCTTTTCGTAGAGTGTAGAGTGCTTTACGGATCACAAATTATAACATTTTAATTAATTAAACGTGTTAATTTTGTAGAATTAAATTTTCAGATGTAAACATTTATTTCTAGTTTGCTTGACTGAGGGATATTATCTTTAAAATTTTTAGAAGATTGTAGGAGATTTAACATTACTTTTTTTATATGTGCGTAGAAACACTGCACATGCAAAAAAAAAAGAGGTGGAATTTTCTTGAGAATCTTCCCATAGTTCACTTGCAGCATAGTCTGTTAATCACGTTTCGTGAGCACTTACCTGTGTTTATAATTCATGCTTTAGTAATGATTGTTGGGGACTTCTCATCGTTAGCTGTTTCTGTGCCTGATGGTCCTGCCTACCTGAAAGTAGAAATGAGGGACAGCCATAGCTGGAGAATATTGAGGGACATCTCAGCACCGGGGACTCGCTAGGCATTTGCATGAGTCAACTTGTGATGTAGGTACCAACATTTAACCAGCGAGGAGGTAGGCTCAGGGAGAGTGAATAATATTTCCTCAGTTAGCACTGAAAAGTGATAGTGCTTGGGTCAAGCCCATTGTCTCTGTTTTCACTCTGCTAAAATTACTCCCAAAATTAAAAAAACTGAGGGGGGCTTATTAAATATTTCCTACTTGATTCTAATTTTTTAAGTGGTTGAGATGTCGGACTGAAGAGAAAACCCTTCATACTCTTGTACCTGTTTTATATATCTTATATTGATATTGTTGGACCTTTTGCTGTAAATATCATATTTCTATTTGTTATGATAGTGATTCAGGGCAATTAAGGTAAGATTGGTTTCTTTTGGGAAATGAGTATTATGTTTACTAATGCAGACATTTTTTGCATGTGTTCTAGTGCTTGTAATACAACAGGAAGCGGGTTTTGGAATTCTTCACACGTAGACAATGAAACCGAACTTGATGAACATAATATACAAAATTATGAAAATACCACAGTGTTTTTTATTTCCAGTTTTCAGTACCTCATAGTGGCAATTGCCTTTTCAAAAGGAAAACCCTTCAGGCAACCTTGCTACAAAAATTGTAAGTTTGGCATTTATTGTGATTTCCACCCTGCTTGCCCCTTTAAAACTAATGTAGAAGAGAATAATTATAACTGTCTTTGCCACAGTAAACCAGATCTTCACAGATAGAATCAACTTAGTGATTTAGATGTTTACCGTTTTGTTTTACTTTCATTGGTAGTTGCCACCCTAAGTTTAAAGTTCAAGCTACCAGTGTTAAGCACTGTTGTTTTTCACATCATAGTGCCTCTGGCTCCAGCTTTTATTTCTGCAACCCATTGTGGAGGGAGTTAGGATGGGAAGTGGAGACGGAGGTTCCTCAGCCCACTGTTGGGTGAGTTAGGATCGGGGGCGGAGACGGAGGTTCCTCAGCCCACTGCGGAGGGAGTTAGGAATGGAAGCGGAGACAGAGGTTCCTCAGTTGGAACAGTAGGTATTATACTTTCCTCCCGGGCGGTCTGCGCAGCATCTGCCATCTTCTTCATTTCCGACGCTGGTGTGGCCTGTGTTCACCTCTGGGATTCTTCATTTCTAGTATCTTTGCATGCTATTGCAGAAAGGGCCAGTATACTGAATGGAGGCCTGTGCCCTTGTGGACTTGTCTATGGCAATAGAATATACCATTTTGATTGATCAAAATTAGAGTTTATGGAAAAAAATCAGTTACTACATATAAATTGCCAATTAAAAAAAATTGAGAATACACTAATATATGGAACAACTTTTAGACTTCTGCAGTATCTTGGAGCAAATAGCAATTATTCTTTTGCTGTAGTTATGACTAGGTGGCAGTGTTCTAGTTGGCAGGTCACAGGTATCGGTATGTCATAGGAATCACAACTATTAGTGTCTCTGTCTCATATTAGCATTTATAAGGCATTTTCTCATACATTATCTTATTTGTCACTTCTACCCTGTTGGTTTGTAGGGCAAGTTTTATTACTTTATATTTTGTGCAGGTAAGATTACAATCTGATCTCACTGGTAATTTTTCCTTTTTTTTGCCCCCTTTTTGGAACTGATGTTTCTTATTTTAAAAATAACTATATTATTACTTATTTATTGTTATATATTGCTATATAACTATACTAATAACTGTGTTACTAAGAACTTTAAAAAATAACTATTATTTTAAAAATAACTATATTATTTATTAGTTGTGTATTGCTGTATAACCATACTAATAACTATGTTACTAAGAACTGTATTAGAACCATGCTACAGGATGAAAAACCTTCCATGGAAGGTTTGCCACGGTATTTCTAAAAGGATTTTTTACTACAGATAACTTATTATAAGGTGCATTTAATCATTAGCATTGGTATACATTTTATTCAACATTTTTAAATTTCAAGGAAATGTTGAACACATGTAAGGGTAGCTGAAAACATCTAGGAAAAAACATTGCTTTTTTTTTTTTAATTTGAAGAAAACTGGTATTCAGACTGGTTTGCAAGCAAGACAGCTCTATCAAGAAAGTTAATTTTAGAGATCTACCCTATCCACACTGTTAGAATTAAAAAAGAGAAAGGGAGAATATTAGTTGCCTGTTTCTAAAGATGCATCTTCTATATGTTTGGAAAACTTATTAAAAAAGGTTTAAGAAATTTTGTTTTCTCGTTTAATTTCCAATTTACTAGAATAAATAATAAACACTATTTTTGGCCACTGGATGATTTAAAAATGTACTAAGATTATATTTAGCAGAAATATAACCATAAAACTCGATTGCCGTTACTGTCAGCAGCTTGTGTACTTCTCTCAGTGGGTAAACAGAAGCACTTGCTGTTGTAAAGCATGCCTTCTGAAAAGTACGAAAGGAGCAGTGCAGTTGATGCAGGCATTCTGCCAGTTTTCACCTCTTGTCTGTGTGTCACTGGATCCATGCAGAGTCCTTTCTAGGACCTGTCTGTTAGTTTTCACCTCTTGTCTGTTTGTCACTGGAGTCCATGCAGGGTCCTTTGCTAGGACCTGCCAGTTGTTGCTCTCTATAAATGGTGTGTAATATATTAAAAGTATTTTGAAGTTATGATTTTTAAGAATTAATCTCAGCCTTAGGCGTTTAAGGAATTCTCTTTAGAGTTTTTTGCTTTCTTGTACTGGTTCACTTTTAATCTAAATTAAACTTAACTTCAGTCTGTGTGGTTACCTGTTTTCAACTTGAGCTTCACAGTTACATTTTCTCATTCAGCTGCCTTCATTTCAAGGGTCATGATATGCACTTAATTCTTAACACTCTCCTTTAACTAGACATGATTTCTTGGGATTTGGCTTCAATTTTTAATGCAGTTTCTTGTTGGATCATCCCTACAGTTTATTGCTTGTGCTATCTAATCCCTTTGTCTATGAAGGCATTACTACTGAATTGCCAGGGTCTTTCCTATTCAGGGCCTATGTATCTTTTTCCTATTCATCTAGCATGCCTAAATTGGTTGAAGCCATTCAGATACCTAGAGGCCCTACAGAATAAGGTGACCTTTTAAAGACATAACTGGATAAGGGGAGAGGGATAGGAATAAAAAGGCTTAGGATTTGTGGCTGTAGGTTAGTTAGTACTAGTTATTGTTTGGGGAAGGAACAAAGAGATATATATTGGGGTAAATATTGTATGTGTGTCTACCTTATTTCGGAGTCACTAAGGAAAATATGAAGGAAATCCTTTCTGGTACCTTATTTTGATACCATAGTCCATCGGTGGCATCTGGTATCATGAACAGCACATCATATGTTGCCACAAGCTGAAAAATATTTCATAATAACTTCAATTTACATGTTGCTATATACTTTGAATACTTAAAAATCTCTTATTTCCTACAGAATCCTTATCATATCCCCATTTTATAGATAAAATAATTTGACTGTAAATGACTTGTTTAGATTCACATAGCTTTGTGGAAGAATCAATCTAAAACAATCTAAATCTTAAGGAACACCCTTGACCCTGGCCTGCAGTCACCAGTGACACACAGTTTGTTTTGATAGCTGTCTTCTGGTGAAGAATGTTTACACTTTAGTACAATTACTAAGCCATTGCTTATAATGCTAGGAGAATCTAGGAGCTGAGAGCATAGTCTACAAGAAATTCATACCTCTCTAAAGTGAATACCTAATTCTTCTATTCTTGGTTGAAATCCTTACTGATTTTAAAATTTGGTATGGTTGTATGTCTGCCAGCCATCCTTCTCTCCCCTGTCACTTAGTGTCTTTTTTGGATAGTGCCTTTTTTTTTTCCTCCAGGCTAAACAAAGATAGATTCAGTTACTTATCTTCTCTCTCACATGGAAATCTTGGCAGATTTTTAGAGGTGGGATCCAAGAGGTGGCTCTGGGAGAGACATGAAAATTTGAGAAACAAACATTGTTTAGGTAGATGTAAAGAAGCTTCTGTGCTTGAGTAAATTTTTTTTTTTTTTTTTTGCCAACGACACACATGTCAAGAACCAGGTCGCAAATCTGTTTTTGCTGTGGTTTGAAAAATGCAATCAGATTTGAAAAACATGCAATATGGCTTATTACTTCATTGAATTTCTTTTTTAGTCTCCGTGTTTCTCTCTGCCATTTATGTTCTGACCATTGCTTTTTGTCCTTTTTCTGATTTTGTCTTTTTTCTTTTCTGTTTTTATATACTTCCAACCACCACTTTCCAAACACTTTTTCCTTATCTGACCATAACTACTTAAATGACCATAGAACTTACATGATACTTTAGTTGCTGCATTTGTGAAACAGGATGTCACATTTCCTATTTACAATTTAGTAGAATTACTTTTTACCCAATATGAGTCCCACTTTTTTTTTTTTTTTTTTTTGAGATGGAGTCTCGCTCTGTCACCCAGGCTAGAGTGGAGTGGCGTGATCTCTGTTCACTGCCAGCTCCGCCTCCCGTGTTCACACTATTTTCCTGCCTCAGCCTCCCGAGAAGCTGGGACTACAGGCACCCGCCACCACGCCTGGCTAATTTTTTGTGTTTTTAGTAGAGACAGGGTTTCACCGTGTTAGCCAGGATGGTCTCGTTATCCTGACCTCGTGATCCGCCCGCCTCGGCCTCCCAAAGTGCTAGGATTACAGGCGTGAGCCACCGTGCCCAGCCCCACATTTTTTTTAATCCTTTTGGTCAGTGGCTCATGGTAAAAAATATGTCTCCACCTTTGGTATAAGTGTTAGTGTAAGTTTCAGCCTAAGCTACTAAAACTATATATATATATATATATATATATATATATACTATATATATATATATATATATACACCCTACACACTGGTATATATAAACATAAAAATAATATAGTATAGTTTCTGTAGAATGATAAATATTTACCTGTAGTTTTGAATTGATATTAACAAAGTTTATATTTACAAATAACATCCACGTTTAAAAATGGCACTGAGACCCTTCATTTACAGTCAGTAAAAAGTAAGTTCTTTACCCAGTCTGGAGGCTTCATGATAAAGTTTTTGTATGTGGTCTTAGTAAAGTTTGAGTTTGAAGTGGAGTTCAAATAGGAAGTTGTAAATAAATGTCCAGATCAAAGGAAAAGGGGAAAAAAGTTTGGGCTATCAATATATTAGAAAATTTTGGAGCCACTTTTATGGCTTATTATTATACAAGTATATGCTTATATACATGTGTGTATATGTGTAGATGTACACACTTAAGAAAATGGCCATGAGCAAGCAGTTTGGTTTTTGAGTTAGGAAAGTGAGACAAAGTACTGCTGGGTGGATTTGCCATTCCCAGCTCCCATAGCAAGCCATAAGGTCAGCCCACTTTGAAAAATAGTAGATCAACTCAGTCTCTTGGCTTTTGGCTAAGATTTTCTGTGAAAACATTTTCACAGTGTAAATCAGTGAAAAAATGGGATTCACTTACTAGAAATACATTTACATTTAGGTTAGAATGCCTCTATTTAGGATTAAGACATACCCAATACTGAAAATAAGTGTTATTCAGCATTTTTACAGTCAATAGTAATTGTCATTGAATACATGTTTTAAATGATAATCTCATTTTGCCACACATAGTTTAGTCTCTTATTTGTGCATTATGTATTGGCTTTATTATCTTACAAAGTAGCTATCCATTTGGGCGACATACAAATGTCTGTGAAGGTCTGAGTCTTATTTTTTTAAGTGCTGATTATTTTCTGAAGGACTTTCACGGTTAAAGTTAATGGAGTTTAAACATAACATCACGTTGTGTATGTGAATCTTTTGGGTGCCCCGAACAATGTCTCATACTCCAGGAGATAACAGAGCACATACTTTATTCCATCAACTGAAGTGAAAGTATTCAAAACCAAATTTACAAATGACAGTATACCAGCTGTTATTGGATGCCTTTTTATATAAAGGAATTTCCTAATTTACTTGTTTTACTTTTGCTGTCTTTTCCAGATTTTTTTGTTTTTTCTGTGATTTTTTTATATATTTTTATATTATTCATCATGTTGTATCCAGTTGCCTCTGTTGACCAGGTTCTTCAGGTAAGACTTAAGCACATCATTTGTTTGGGGAAAAAGACTAACCTGTATACATTTCTTTTTTTCCAGGATCTCTTCTTTTTGTGTATTCTAAGATGCTGTTATATTAACCCAAAGATACTCTACAGAGAATAAAGAACCTAATGAAAATAGCAGCTTTTCTTAGCTATACCTGTTTAATCTCTGCTTCTGGTGCCGTTTTCATTTGTCTGCAAACAAATTAAATAGCCCTTGGTCTTTAAAAACATAAAAAAACGTTGATCCTGGTACCTGTTACTCCTCTCTTCTCTACCAGTCTACTTCTTGAGTAGTCTACACATGCTCCCTTTTGTGTTTTGGCCATTTAGTTCTTCAATTCTTTTCATTAAAAACTTTCTGAGTAATGAAATACTTGTTTTTCATACAAAAGAATATGCACACATATTTAAGTTGTTAGCCATAATTAAAAAATAGTAAAGAGATAACACCCTGAGTGTATCATCCAACCTGAAAAAATGAACATTACCTGAGCACAAGTCAGTGACAAAAGAAAACAAAAAAAAGGTAACGTTACCAATCAATAAGGCACTCTCATGTACCTGTTTTGATGATTTTCCCTGTCATTCCCTGTTTCATTATATACTTACCATATATGTTTGCAGTCATAAAAGATAGTTTTGTGTGCTCTTGAACTTCATGAAAATGTTATCTTGTTCCCTTTTTTCTGTGACTTGCATTCTCCCATCAACATTGTTTGTTGATACATTATTTTATTTTCATTGCTGTATAGTATACAATTGTAGGAATATATTAAATTCATTTCTCCATCCTCTGTTGGTAAATAATTACTGAACATATTGCTGCTATGAACATATTTTTACATGTCTTTCAGTGTATGGGGGTAAGTAATAGTGTATGAAAGAGTGGAGTAGGAGTGGTTTATCCCAGGTACAAGCAGTGAGAGAGTGGTGCGATGCTGTAGAGAATTTGCAAACAGTGATTAAGCCCAGTAGAAGTCCATCTGCTTTTTAAATATTGCCATGTGCTGGTAATTCCAGACACTTCCAGTGGTAATATACTCCTTCCACTACTACCCTTGGCAAACCATTAGGGACAAAAGTTTCCTCTGCTGTATTCTGGTATCATGATGAGCATGTACTCTTCAGCTACCACGTGCCAAGTTGTTTTCCAAAGTGATTGTATCAATCATCCATCAGTGTTTGACATCCTGTTGTTTCACATCATTGCCAACACTTGGTCTTGTCCAGTGGGTGTAAAATGTTATATCATGATGGTTTTACTTTGCTCATTAACTTTACTAATGGAGTTGAGCATTTTTTCATGTGTTTAATGGCCATTTTTATTTTCTCTGTGAACTGCCTATTCATGCCTTTGGCCAATTTTTTCTAGGATGTTGTCTTTTTTAAAAATTTTTAGGATGTTGTCTTTTTTTTAAAACTTAGTTTTCAGAGTTCTTAATGTATTATATTTGACTGTATAGTGATAAATATCTTCTCCCAGTTTGTGGCTTGTCTTTTTACTTTGTTTATAATATCTCTTTTTAAAAAACAAACTTATAGTCTGACATGGCAAATTTATTAATTTCTTTCTTTATTTGTTCCTCGTGTCTCAGTTTGGCGGACTTGTCCATCTCAAAGTTATAAAGATACTCTCACATTTAGTCTTTAATCCATCTGGAATTAATTTTATGTATAGCTTTTGAATAGGGATCAAATTTCTTTTTCTTTTTTTCTCTTACGCATACCCATTTGTTTCAGCAATTGCTTATTGAAGTTTGTCTTTGCCACTGATATTCAGTGATACCTTTGTCTTATATCAGTTTCCTTCCTTCCTTCCTTCATTCCTTCTTTCCTTCCTCCCCCGCCTCCCCTCTCCTCCCTCCCTCCCTCCCTCCCTTCCTTCCTTCCTTCCTTCCTTCCTTCCGTCCGTCCGTCTGTCTGTCACCCACGCTGCAGTGCAGTGGTATGATCTCAGCTCACTGTGGCCTCGACCTCCTGGGCTCAAGTGGTCCTCCCACCACAGCCTCCTGAGTAGCTGGGACCACAGTTGTGCACCACCACACCCAGCAAATTTTAAAATTTTTTGTAATAAAAATTATAAATGGGGTTTGTAATGGGGTTTCACTGTGTTGCCCAGTCTGACCCCCAACTCCTGGGCTCAAGTGATCCTCCTGCCTCAGCCTCCGAAAGTATTAAGATTACAGGCATGAGCCATGGCGCCTGGCCACAGTTTTCCATATATATGACTAATAGTGTTTTAGGGACTCCATATTTTGTTGTTTAGTTCTCTTTATTTGTGCCAGTACTATATTGTCCATGCTACCATGACTTTATAAGAAACCTTGATACATGCTTGGGTAGGACTCCTACCCCCCTCTCACATTGTTGTTC
Organism: Homo sapiens; assembly: GCF_000001405.40. Lineage (NCBI taxonomy): Eukaryota > Metazoa > Chordata > Mammalia > Primates > Hominidae > Homo > Homo sapiens. The sequence goes on along the minus strand of NC_000003.12, from coordinate 194,417,491 downwards.
ATCATGACCTTTTTGGCTGTGCTTGAGCTTTCCTTCTTCCTCCTTTTGTGTGTGTGTGTGTGTGTGTGTGTGTGTGTGTGTGTGTGTGTGTGTGTCAGAATCTGGCTCTGGTACCCAGGCTGGAGTGCAGCCCACTGCAAGCTTTGTCTCTCGGATTCAAGCGATTCTCCTGCCTCGGCCTCACGAGTAGCTGGCACCTGCCACAACGCCTGGCTCTAATTTTTTCTATTCTTAGTAGAGATGGGTTTTCACCATGTTGGCCAGGCTTGTCTTGAACTCTTGACCTCGGGTGAGCTCCCTGCCTTGGTGAGCCACTGTGCCCAGCTAAGCTTTTCTTCTTAACTTTTAAGTTTAGTTTGTCAAATACCAGGAAAAGCCCTTTCGGAACTATTAGAATTACACAGAGTTGATCAATAAATTTTGAGGGTGAATTCATTAGTTTTCCTTCCCACAAACAGTATCTCGTTCTGTTTCTGTCTTTTTGACCTAATGTCTTTCAGTAAGTCAGATAGTTTTCTCCCTAATGGTTTTTGTACATTTTTTGTTAGATTCTTAGAGTAATAACAGTTTTTGATCCCTTGATAAATTATAATTAAAATGACATTTTCTAATTTTTTATGTTGTTGAACTCAATACAGTTGTTTTAGATATTCATCTTGTTCCCAGAAGCCTTATCAGACTTTATTCAGACACATTTTAGATTGTCTAGGATTTTCTGTTTAGACAGGCATCATATATAAGTAATTACAAGCTGTAATTACTTACTTGACTCCCCAGCAGTTTGTTTCTGACATTTCACAGTCTTTATGTGCTTTTTCTGTATTTTTCATGTCTTAATATATTAGTTATAGTGATAGTGATATCCTTGTCTTACTCTTGTCTCTAAAGGACGTGTTCCTAATAGTTCACCATTAGATAAACTGTTTGCTGTATATTTCTAGTGTATAGTCTTTATCAGGTTAAGGAAGCTTCCTTAGTTGTACAGTGTTGTTAACATAAGTGGTTTTAAATTTTTATCTAATGCTTTTTTTTTTGAGATGGAGTCTCGCTCTGTCGCCCAGGCTGGAGTGCAGTGGCATGATCTCGGCTCACTGCAACCTCCACCTCCCGGGTTCAAGCAATTCTCCTGCCTCAGCCTCCCAAGTAGCTGGGATTACAGGCGTGTGCCACCATGCCTGGCTAAGTTTTTGTGTTCTTAGTAGAGATGGGATTTCACCATCTGGCCAGACTGGTATCGAACTCCTGACCTCACGATCCACCCACCGTGGCCTCCCAAAGTGCTGGGATTGCAGGTGTGAGCCACTGTGCCCAGCCAATCTAATGCTTTTTCTGCAGCTATTGAAATGGTCACACAGTTTTTCTCCCTGAAGAATGTGATGAATTATAGCTGATCAGTATTCAAATATTGAACTAACTTTGCATTTCTAGAATAAATTCAGTTTGGTCATGATGCACACTCTTTGAAATTTGGATTTAGGTTGCTATGATTTTGTTTTGGATTTTTGCCTCTGCATGAATGAGATCAGATTTAATTTTCTTTTCTTGTATGTTACGGACAGGTTTGATCTTAAAGTTATATAACTTAAACTTACAAAGTTTGTGAAATGAGTATTCCATTGCAGGGACTTTTTAGTAATTTGTTTAGTCCTGTTTTGCTGGATATTTAGGTTGGTTCCAGTGTTTTGCTATTAGAAACAATGTGGTATTGTAAGGAGAATGGTGTGAACCCGGGAGGCGGAGCTTGCAGTGAGCCAAGATCACACCACTGCACTCCAGGCTGGGCGACAGGGCGAGACTCCGTCTCAAAAAAAAAAAAAAAAAAAAAAAAAAGAATGTGGTATTGTAAATCCTTGCACACTTCAGTTACAGACAAATATATATTTATAGGCTAAATATGCAAAAGTGGAATTGCTTGGTCTGAGGGTATCTATAAATTTAATTTTCATAAATTCTGCATTATTGAACTTTGAAGATGTTCCAGGTTGTAGTCTTACCAGCAGTATATGTCTGTTTCCCTGCATATTTCATTGAGGGGTTTAGATAAGCACTTACAGTAAAAGAAGAAAACAAAATGCATTATATTTCTCTCCTGGTGCACATGTCTTCTGTTTCACAACCAACTTTTTCTTGAAATAGTACCACATTCAGCTCACCTCCCACACGTTCGTCAACTAATCTGGCATCTTCCCCTGCCAATCTACTGAAACGGCCCTCAGCAAGGCCGTTAGCCTCTTACTTGTTAAGTCCAATGGACTTTTCTCCCTAATGTATTTTTTTCCAGTCTTACTTGACTCCCCAGCAGTATTTGACGAGTTAGCCATGTCATCATTCTTAAGATACTCTCTTCTGAAATTTTGTGATGCTTTGCTGTCTTTTGGCCTTTTCTTAGCTCTGACTCTCCAGTCTCATTTTCCACTTTGGCTCCACTCCCTCTGCCCATTCCTTAAATGTTAGGGTTCCTTACATTTCTGTTCTTATTCCTCTGGTCACTCAATACATTCTGGTGATATCCCCTAGAGTCATGGCTTCACCTGTAATCACCATCTATATGTTAAAGGCTCCCAACCTTTATACCCTGAGCCTACCTCACTACTAAGCTTTAGACCTGCAAATACACTGATATATTGACTGTTACTTGGGTGTTCCACCCAACAGATCCCTCAATTTAAACATTTTAAGAACTAAGCTCATCATGTTCTCCTTCAACCCTTTTTCTTCTCTGTTTCTTGGTACCACTATTTATTCAAGTCAGAAGTGTGCATGCTTGTGTACATGCGTGTGTGTCTATTTATCTGTGCCTTTTCTTCCTCTTTCCGTAGCCAGCCATTTGTTAGATTCTTTCAGTTTTCTTATTATAAACCTTTCTGTCTTTACAACTATCCCATTTTTTAGGCCTTAGAAATTAATCAGATTTTAAAGTGAACACTTAGATTGTTTTTTCTTAACTTCATCTTTTTTTATGAAGTTGTCTTTATAATTGAGTTTTGACCAGTACTTCGTTATTAGATTGGTACCTCTTTTTTTTTTTTTTTAAGGCAGGTTCTTCTGTCACCCACGCTGGAGTACAGTGGCAGGATCTCGGCTCACTGCAGCCTCCACTTCCCAGGCTCAAGTGATTCTCGTGGCTCAGCCTTTTGAGTAGCTGGGATTATAGGCATGCACCACCTCGCCTGGCTAATTTTTGTATTTTTAGTAGAGACGAGATTTTGCCATGTTGCCCAGGCTAGGCTCAAACTCCTAGCCTCAAGTGATCTGCCCACCTCTGCCTCCCAAGATGTTGGGATCACAGGCATGAGCCACTGTGCCTGGCTGGTACCTCATTCTTTAAAGATGGGTTTTTATTTTGAAAATAGAAACTGTTAGACATTCATGATCTAGTAGAGCATGGGCTTTTGAATCTGAGTGAACAGGATTTGACTCTAACCTCAGTCACTTAATATTTTCTTTAACCTTGAGTTACTTAAACTTTGAGTTTTATCATCTGAAAGGGAATATAATATATACCGCGGGGCATTGTTGAGGATTAAGTAGATAATGTATATGAAGGTGTTTGGTACATCATAGGAATTCAATAAATTTAGAAATTATGATACAGTGCTATAATATTGACTACATACAACAATTTTAACTTTAAAATGTTTTTGCATTACAGATAGTGTGTGTACCATATCAGTGGCGTGTAACTATGCTCATCATTGTTCTTGTCAATGCCTTTGTGTCTATCACAGTGGAGGTAAGCACTTCCATAGTCAAATGGCTACCATGTTGCTTTGGAATTCTTGGGTGATTTAATGGTAAATGGGAGAAGAGGGCAGGTAATATAATGGAAAGCCACAGAGTCTCAGTTTCATCTCAGGCAAATTCATTTAGCCTTCTCTTGTGAACTTTTCCATGAATTGATAGTGGTCATATTAAGGGAGGTGACTTAGTTGCACTCACACAGATAGGAGAAAATAAGCAATGTGATAATAAAAATTAATGACGAGTAGAAAGGAGAGAAGTTTGGGGCCTCGGTGGCCCATGAAACTGATGAACCAGTGATTGTGAAATCAGAGTTGGCATGTGCCACCTGTGTTTTGTGATGTACAGTAAAATCTCCCATTTAAGGGAGGGGGGAAGGGGGAGGGCCATTCTCCAGGAAACACAGTGAATATTAATAGCAAGAGAGTTTAATGAAAGTATAAAATAATAATCGTTATGGACTTACCTAATTTCAGCATTGATTACTGGAACATCCTCCTTGGTATTTGCTTTTGAGTGACCTCTAGAGGTCTTAAGTACCCTTTGATTCACTGTATATTGTGTAGTTACCCTCCCGTTAGGATTGCCTTTAGGTTAGCGTCTCTAAAAGGAGGTAGCAAGTTCTCATTGGTGGCTTATTAATAAGCTTTTGTCTGCTCTCTGAACTACTATCATAATTGACTCTTACAGTAACTATAAAAATGGAAGAGAGAGATACAGTTGTGATTTTTAAGTTAAGAGTTTCATAGCACAGGCTTTTGGATCAAAATAAAGGTAATTTTTTTGAGAAATATATATGCATATATTTTAGTGATAATAGCTCTGGTCTTAGAAATTACACTTAATTTCAATTACCCCCTAAAAGATGACTTGGTATTTAAATTTGGGATATGATGGGCAGCATGGATATTATGGTACTGACCTTTTGAAGTTGCCCATTGAAATGTGATTTTTTTTCTATTTTATGGGTGCTAGGAAGCACATGTAAGATACTATATTCTTAAAATGTTTCTTTTTCTACAGTATCAGTTCATCTTTTCACAGAAATGTTACTTATTCTTACTACCTAAAGAATGGTTTGTGTTGGATGCTGATGAAATTATATATCTATAGATAGGGATATAGAATTAGTACTAGATATTCAATGAAAATAACCATTGTGAAGAAAGACTTCAAATTACATAAGCATCATTTTAATATGGGAAAGACCTATTTATACAAAAGCCATATTTCATGGAAAATTTAGAAGTCTCATTTTATCAAGAATTTTATGATGATTTGTATTTGTTACAAAAGTCCTATCATTCTTGATCATTTGGCAGTATTAACTGAAATTCCATATATGAAAATCAAAATATCCTTTTCATCAATTATGCAGCATGTGTGATTTTTTAAAAAGGTGCACATTAATAAAAAATGACTTAGTCATTATTAATTCTTAACTCACTGGAATATCTCTCAGAACTTCTTCCTTGACATGGTCCTTTGGAAAGTTGTGTTCAACCGAGACAAACAAGGAGAGTATCGGTTCAGCACCACACAGCCACCGCAGGTTGGAACTCAGCACTTCCTGTCAATTCTTGCTGCCTCTCTAGGCTCTCTGCTTGTGTACTCTGTATTCTCTAGCGTGTTCTTGTTCTGTTATGTGTTATTCTCTAGCGTGTTCTTGTTCTATTACGTGTTCCTTCAGCCTTTTTCTCTGTGCTTGGCATTTCATTTCTTATAAGAAGTCCTAGAAAATTCATGGCAAACATTTGTTAGAGGCTTTTCAAGATCAGAAATTTCATAAGTCTCCTTTCCATTCCAATCCTGATCTTCTATTTGTGTAAAAGTCTTGTCCTCAAAGGTGAGAGTTAATTTTTCCATTTCAATCTACTATAAATTTTATGTTTTTGTTTTTCATGAGTCCCCTTAGAAGCTAAATGAGATTTATATAAACAAAGTTTGCAATGAAAACTGTTTCTTCTTGGATCAGAGTCCAAAGGCCCAAATTCTGAAGAATTATTTCTGATTTCTTGTCAGTTACTGTCCCTTAATTTGGAGTGGCTTTTTGGCTTTCTCCAGCGTTGTATACCTTAGTATTCAGAAGATGATGTCCTTTTTTCATACAAACCGTGGTTTAGGACATTTGACTTTTTGGGTCTGTTAAACAGCCTGTCATTTGAAAGGTATTGCAAGTTCTGTGGTAAAGAGAGAAGAGAAACAGAGGAATAAAACCCATTTCCTAGTGTTAGGATGTTAAAGTATAGCTCTTGATACAGATACAGATTGGACTTATTTTTTAAACCCATCCTATGAATCAGAGCTCTTTGAGGCAGCTTTTTAGGCATAGAGAATTTGATAAAATCTCACCCCTTCATTGCCTTACCCATTTTTCTTTAGAGATGGGTGATGTGCTTTACAGATAGGAGCTCTGAGTCTTTCACTCAGCCTTGAGCCACAGGAAGCTGGTGGAGTTGAAGAGGACTCCCTGGCATTTTTGAGTTGGGTTACCCACTTAGTTTTAGCCAACTTTTACCTAAGTGGTACCTTCCTGAGCTTTATTTTGGTCATCCAGCAGGCCTGATGTCCTGGTGTAATGCCACAGGCTTGCTTTCTAAGAGGGCCTGCAGAGTACCATTTCCGTTTTCTAATGCTTTATGGTGAATAATGATGGAATGCAGTCAGCCTCAGTTTTTTTTTTTCCTGAAAGCAGTGTAATACCAGTTGTCCCTAGTAGTGCGTATGACTAGGGTTGTACAAGGGGCTCAAGTCGTTTAGCAAAATCTCATCTGTGTATACACACACACACACACACACACACACACACACACCCCAACACCCCAACCCTCCCACCCCCATATATATAGTTACCTCACTGCATTACTTCAGAAGGTTATCTTTGGCTTATGTAATCAACTCTCATGTGAAATATTCGTATTGTATTCCTAGGCCTAGGAAAACATTCCGATTTTTCATATTCTCCCAAGAGATCTCTGACTATTGATCTGAACAAGAAATTGCATGTTTTGAAGGGGAGTAACCCCGGTTTAGCTGAAAGTAGGCATTATAAGGCCCCTTAAAAATATTTGGATTGGAAGACTCTCCTTGCTTTTCAACCAAAATTAAATGATAGAAAATTCTTTTTTTGGTCTCTGTTTTCTAAAAAATTATTAGGAAATATCTGCCCTTCTCTTTTTGTGAGACCAGGGTCTCACTCTGTCACCCAGGCTGGAGTGCAGTGGCGTGATCATGGCTCACTGTAGCCTCGAGCTCCTCAGGCTCAGATGATCCTCCCACCTCAGCCTCCCGGGTAGCTGGCATTAGAGGTGCATGCCACCATGCCCGGCAACTTTTGTTTGTTTGTTTTGTAGAGATAGGGTTTCACCATGTTGCTGGGTAGATGGAACTACAGGTGCATGCCATCCCAGGCCCAGCAGTTTTTTTTTTTTTTTTTTTTTTTTTTTTTTTTTTTGCAGAGAGGAGGTTTTGCCATGTTGCCCGGGCTGGTCTCAAACTCCTGGGTTCAAGCCATCTGCCTGCCTCGGCCTCCCAAAGTGCTGGGATTACAGGCGTGAGCCACCACGCTTGGCCTGCCCTTCTAATTTTTAGAAGTTTGTGTTTCTACCTCTGAAGTGTTCATGGGAGAGTGAAGGTAGAGAGTGGTCCAGAGCAGGTGGGCCCCAGCACACCCTGTGTGTCAACTGATTCTGAGAATCATCAAATAGACAAGAATTTAAGTCTTCCGTTTCTGTGGTCATGATTAAGGTGCATTTTTTAAAGACTTAAAAACTTACTGGCTTTAGGAAGGAGAGTTCTTATAACCTCCCAGCACAAAGTGACATACTTTCATTCTCTGCTACTTCTGTGTAGTGTTGCTTCACTGTTAATGTTTGTGGCTCTTCAAGAGCCAGTCTTTAGTTAATCATATTACCATAAGGCCGTGGTTCTCAATCGGAGGTGATTTCCCCAGGGGACATTTGGCATTGTCTGGAGGCATTTTTGGTTGTCACAGTTGGCAGCCCCGGGTGTTAATACTTACTCTCTGACCAAAAAAAAAAAAAAAAAAAAAAAAAAATTCTTTACGTCAGTGATTATCAAGCAAGATTATTCATCAGAAATGCTTTGAATTCTACCCTTGACCTACTGAATGGAAATCTTCGGTGGAGACCCCCATCATCTGTGGTTTTCTATAAAGCAACCCTGTTTCAGGAGATCTGTGTCGTATCTTCTCTTTAGAAGCATTTGTGCCTAGCTTGTGTCTGGTAAACTGAGGGCACTTAGTAGTGGAACTAGAATCATACTACCTGTAATTTGATTATGCCTGAGGATTTGTGCCCAATTTATGTTTTCTTCCTTGGTGAAAAATCCAAAAAAGTAGTTTGTATGGTGTAGTGGTAGTCTTTATGCCACTTAGAATATTATTTGAGCTTATGTAGACAGAATGTTAATTCTGATTTTCTGTGTTTGTTTTATATTCAGGATTGGTATGGAAGAAGACTTATGAAAACCACAGCGCCATTATAACATTTTTCCTTCAAGCATGGCATTCTGTTTTATATACTGCCCATGAAAACATTTCCTAAAAGACATTGCTAAGCGTAAACTTGACATTTTTGAAAGTTCTTTTTAGTTTCTCTGCTAAACTATGCATGGTAGCCTCTTTCCTTCTCTGAGGGGATGAATTTGGTCACTGAAGCATTCCTTTCAGAAACAAACTGAAAGATCCGGTTGCTATAGCTACTGTGTTCTGCTTTAGGGACTTGTGCCGTAGAGGTTTTGGAGAGACCCACATGCTCATTCTGTGCCCCCGATGCCCTGTTTCATGGCCTTTGTGTTACACAGTACTTGCCTTTCTCCCTTCATCATCATCATCTCCCCGCTGGCTGATTTCTCATTCCAGCATGCCTGTAGCACCTTTTATTTTCTCTTCCAGTGAATTATATTGTGTTTGAGAATGTGTGTGGTATGTTTGTGTTTGTAAACTAACAAACCTATGCTTGCATGTAGTGTACTTTTTGTGTATGATACTTGGGGGAGGTAGGGGTACAGGAACAAAATGTTTCCAATTATGGTACAGTAGGGGGATCCTTAGTGTTCCTCATGACTTTTTAAAAATTGTGACACGTGTACACTGTTTGTAATAGGGTTGTGAGGATATTTTTCAATGCATAAAAAGAATCCTATTCAGTTATTGTTCTATTTGCAAATAAATTAATTTTAATTTTATTGGTTGACTTACTTTCCACAAGTAGGGAACAGTGAATTGAGATATGTGTGTGTTTGGCTTTCCTTAACTCAGCTTGCTACGTACGCATTGCTGTTCAACCTGGCAGACTCTTTGGACAGACAAGTCCTATTATGTTTCTGCTTTTTTAAAAAAAGTCAGCAGTCAACATTAGTTTATTTCCTGTGGTAATCTAACAGTGCTACTTAAAAGTGACAGCTTTTGGCCAGGTGCGGCGGCTTATGCCTGTAATCCCACCAGCACTTTGGGAGGCTGAGGTGGATGGATCACGGGGTCAGGAGATCGAGACCATCTTGGCCAACGTGGTGAAACCCCGTCTCTACTAAAATACAAAAAATTAGCCGGGCGTGGTGGCGCGTGCCTGTAGTCCCAGCTACTTGGGAGGCTGAGGCAGGAGAATCGCTTGAACCCGGGAGACAGTGGTTGCAGTGAGCTTAGATCACGCCACTGCACTCCAGCCTGGCGACAGAGCAAGACTCCGTCTCAAAAAAAAAAAAAAAAAGGTGACAGCTTTCGAATTGATTTAGGAACAGTGGTTTTTTTCCCACAATTAGATTGACAAATGACACCTTGGGAGAAAAGTAAGATCCAAGTAGTAAACTGTCATCTCAGATGAAATATTACGTTTGTTGTGTGCCTATACTGGAAAGGCATTATCTGTTATTTTGGATCACTTGAAGAATCCTATACATAGTGACTTCTGTACCTTAATGCTAAATATTTTCCTGTGGACTTTTTTTTTAAGGTGATGCTGATATAACTCTCTTTAGTTATGACAGTAAAAAGGCTACTAGGCGAGTAATCTTCAGACTTTCCCCGTCCCCACCCCAGAATGCCACGTAGCTTACTTTTGTCCACCTTTTTTGCCTTTAAATTCTTGGTAGCAGTGCAGCTGATTGTGTTTTGTTGACAGGCTTAAGCTAGCAGACCTTTAACATTGAGAGCGGTGAGTCACGTTTACCGTGCTCTCAGCGGGGCCAGGGAGGAGAGGGAGAGAGTGGTAGGTTCCTGATGGTTGTTTCAACTGGATGAGAAAGAGCTACCAAGTTAATATGAAAAAGCTTTAAGAGCTTTAATTTTAAAGTATTTTTGCTCTTCTCCATTGGCCAATTTAGAAACATGTTTCAAAATACATCTATAGCTAACTTGCCTTTTTAAATCATGAGGCATTTTGGGTAACATTAGAATATGTAGCTCAGTTATGTTCTACTCTACCTTGTGAGATTACTGCATTTAGAGCTAGTTGTAGCCTGGTTTATATGTTGATTGGCAAAACAAAATGACCTGGAATTTAAATTTCATTTTGGAGAAGCAACAGCCAAAATCATTACGAAGTGGCTGTTCTTTAGAAGTAAATATAACTACTACGAGTCCTGGTGTAGTCATTTATATTTATTTCAAATTTCAATTGAGACAAATTCTGAGGGCCCTTTTCAGCCCTCTATTGAGTTTACATTTCTATGCATTAACCAGGGACTCTGCTTTCTTGTTCTCCAAGGATCATTTATCTAAGGCCAAATTCACTAAAAACATCAGGATTGATCAGAAGGATTTCAGTGACAGCAGAGCTTTTTGCAATGAAATAATACTAAGCAATAGTACTTGTTTTATACCCCTTTCCAGTCGTGGAGCACCGACGGAAACCATCATTATAAAACAGTATTGTTTTTTATATTAGTAAGGATGAGGTTTTAAAAGACGTAATTGACATTAAACATGATTGAAGCCCTAATTTTGACCAAACGATATTTACTTCATGTTTTGAGAGATGATATTAACAGTAACAAGGATACTTGTACACAGCTTTCTTCCAAAAATGATCATGCGGCTAAGTTGCCAGGAGCAATAGTACCAAAAGATAGTTTGGGACAGAATGTGAAGATTTTCAAATTAAATATTAAAAATGTTTTCTCTTTCTGAATGGCTTAAAGTTCTTAATACATTAGATATTCTGTGGTAAAGAATCCATATCTGCAAGTTATTTAAAAGGTATTAGTACACAAGAGTATAGGTATATAAAACTAAATGAAGTCAATCATATTGATTATCCCCCCAAAAAAAATATAATCTAAAGAATAATCAGTTCCTAAATAATTGAAAGCTGCCCTTACAAAATAAAACAAAAGAACACACATTTCGTTGTGTTGCCCAGGCTGGTCTCGAACTCCTGGGCTCAAGCAGTCCTCCCACCTCGACCTCCCAAGATGCTGGGATTTCGGACATGAGCCACCACGCCCGGCCAAAGCTGCCTTTTTTTAACATGGATTTTTTTTTCCCCCATTCGTTGTGCTCAGAAGTCATTTCCTCTTATTTTTCTCTGCTAATGTGTGCTTTAACAAACCTGTTTAAAACGACAAGCCTTTAATCAACTGGGGTGTTTTGTTTTGTTTTTTTCTTATTTTCTTAGGAGTCAGTGGATCGGTGGGGAAAATGCTGCTTACCCTGGGCCCTGGGCTGTAGAAAGAAGACACCAAAGGCAAAGTACATGTATCTGGCGCAGGAGCTCTTGGTTGATCCAGAATGGCCACCAAAACCTCAGACAACCACAGAAGCTAAAGCTTTAGTTAAGGAGAATGGATCATGTCAAATCATCACCATAACATAGCAGTGAATCAGTCTCAGTGGTATTGCTGATAGCAGTATTCAGGAATATGTGATTTTAGGAGTTTCTGATCCTGTGTGTCAGAATGGCACTAGTTCAGTTTATGTCCCTTCTGATATAGTAGCTTATTTGACAGCTTTGCTCTTCCTTAAAATAAAAACAGAAAAATATATCGTCCTAACAGTTAAATTAACAATCAATCCATAAAGTCCTATATCTTCATTCAGCAACCCAAATATTACATACATTTCCAGAATTTTCTTGATTGTTACTTTCAGTGATATTCTTTATATTGGGTACAGGAGAAGTTTGGTGTTTGGTAGGTTTTTCAACATTAGTTTTTGAGACTAGTTTACCTCTTCACATTTATGCTCACAACCCTCTTGTTAGAAAAGTCTGTGTTTATATACAGGCTGTAAGTTTGTGATTGATAAAAAGAAGATGAGTGTTAATTAGCCTCCAGTGAAAATATACTGAAAGCCTGTTTTCATTTGATTCCAATGTTTCTTCCAAAGAATTCTGTATAAACATATGCCAATTCCCTATGATGGTCTAGAGTTAGGAATGAGTGTTTATGGTGTTGCTTATAGAACAACTCAGGTAATCTCCATTTCTGGTTTTATATTTTCTGTACAAACTGCCTGGGTTTTATTTTTCTAATCAGCAAGGTGCTTCACTGCCTTCTTGAGACGCCTCTCAAAGCTCTTAAATGGCTCCTGTGCTATGTGTGGTGTTGGCAGTCTAATTTGCTTCTGTTAAATGTTGTAGAACCTTTTTCACTAGGAAATAAGATTCATTTCTTTCGGCAGTAGATGTAGATTCATCTTTTAACGTTTCTTCAAATTTGTTTCTGTCAGGCTTTGTGTTATTTTAAATGGTTTTTTAAAATTTTCTTCTATGTTTTCAATTACCTAAAGACATAGGATAATAGTTTTTTTTAAGTTAGAATTTTACCTCATAAAATTTTTTGAGGTTTGATGTATGTCTCTGTCTTATCAATAATGAGGCTTAAAAAATACTGGATTTGAATGGCTGCCGTTTTTTCAAAGCAATATGAATTTGATGAGTTTGTTTTATGCCATTAGGTGGCGCCAGAGGTCAGAACATGTCTATTTTGAATTGGATCGTTACAAATGAGCATATTTGATGCGGAAATTTCTGGGAGAAAAAAAATTGAGGAAATAAAGTTAAAAAATTGACATTCATTGAGCCAAAAGAGATGTGGAGAAACATTTTTCACCTTTCTGTTTGGCCTGATTAACATTTAAATTCTTGCCAAAATTAAGGTAACTTTTAAAAAACACCTTTTATAGGTGGATCCAGCAGTCTGGCAACGCCCACAGTTACCACAACACAGAAAACTGATCGTGCTATAAAATGGACGCTAAACTATGAAAACAGTGTGACATTGTTCTCTGTTCTTCCAGAGCCAGTAACATGCTTGCTCGTGCTTTCTACTTCTAGCTGATCATTCTTTTCCCAACATATATTTACAAATTTACCAAATTTTACCTAGAATTTTAGGACCAAATGGTTCTCACTCTTTATGCTGCAAAGACCTGGATGATGTTTGGTAACTATAGAAAAATAGAAATTACACTCAGGATCACTGTTACTGCTATTGCCACTGATGATTCCTGCAAAAATATAATCGAAGTTTTCCATCAAATGTATAATATGCTATTAATACACATTAGATGATAACAGTTGTTCCATGAATGATTCTATGAAGCTATGCATCTTAGACCTCTTGAGCTGTGAATTAGCACTATTTTCTATAGTTACTTATTCTCTGGATCATTTTATAATTTCCATATTAATTTCAAATATGCTCGTGTTATTCTTCAGTGATTTCCACAATTGTGCATTTTATTCTTTGGTTTAAGTACTGAAGCATATAATGAAAGTAATTGCTAAGTAGCAGCTTAAAAATTCAATTATCCGATTGTATTTAACATCTTTAAGAGCATGATCATAAAGAGCTATTTTTGACACCCCCCCCCCACTTTTTTAACATTTAGAGTTAGTAAGGGTTTTATATCTCTTCTGTCCATATTGTTTTCAAAGGAATGAGGTGTTTAGGTGGCTGGAAAAGCATTTGTAGGAAGTTAGATTTGAATATAGACAAGGTGGGTTATTCACGTTGAGAATGTTATTTGAAGAATGCCTGTGAAGCCAGGTGTGGGTTCTACTCAGTGCCATAGATAGACTGAGTCTTCTCTCGTAGGTTACCATTACATAGTAATTTTGATTCTGAATTTCACATTAAATTATTTGAGTTTATACAGACCTAAATTTTAAAATCTGTACATATATTATTTTGATGTATTAAGATGAATATTGCTGATTTAAATTTTATTTATGCACATACTTAAAGGACAGAAATGTCTGGGAAAGTAATTGTTAAATAATGATATGTAACTTTTTAACTTTTTAAATAAATAACAAGATTTTTAATGTGTGTCTCCCTCAGGGTTGTTTAAAGTTTTTTTTCTCCCTCAAGTATAAATAGTGGTAACTATATGTTTTGTATCTTCTAGCACCAACTGCTGTAAAGCAATGCTGCAAATAATGCTTGAATACAAGTGGCTAAGCCAACAACAGAATAAATACTTTTATAGTAGTTTTATAATCCTGAAATTCGAAAGCTTTCCCAATTGCACTTGCATCTAAACAAAACTGTTGCAGTTTTTACTCTATTTATTTTGTTCCCCATGTTTATGAAAGTCCTGCACAGTTTCAAAGGCATGGTAAATAATATATCAATGTTTATGTAGTCTGTTACAGAAACAGCTATAGATAACATTATCCAGTGAAGAGCAAAATTCAAGCTTTAGAAAATATTCATGCATGCAATTTTGACATATCTAAAAATAGGTTTTTGTATATTTATGGTGGGAGGTGGTTGGGAACTTTTAACAAAATGGGGTGTTAATTTTTGTACAGTCTGTGGGCATTTACACATTTTTAATGTATTAAAATTTGGTAATTATGTGTACATTAAATTAATAAAAGTTACTTCTAGTTATGATTTGTGAATTCCCTAAGACCTTGGATTTTTTTAAGTAACTTTATATCAGAAATGATACTGCATCTTTATATTTTTAAAATTGTATTGCTGCTCAAGAATGGTACCCTCTTGTCAAAAAGGCATACATTCATAATTGTACATTCAGCATTGTAAATAATCTTATGAAACCTTTTTTGATTGAAGCTATTCAAAATAAAAATTTTAATGAATGAAATAACACTTTTTTTCTGTGTCTTTATTCATTTGTTTGCTTTTTAGTGACATGAATACTGCCCTTTGTGGATTTATTTTCCTGCCTAATAATACTTCCCCATTTCCTTCTTTTTTTTTTTTAAAAAAAACTGGATTTTGAAGGAAATAAGAACAACATTCTGCATATCATGCCATGTGTGTGAGCATCCTGGGGAAACCCCACAGTCGGATGCAGTGTAGAGCCAAATGTTAAATGCGAGGAGGTCTGAGGGCAATGGTGAAATGAAATAGAAGAGTAGGGACTTATAATCTATTAATAGTTGGGAGAATCAAACCAAAAGCTAATACCATGGAGAGAGAAAATGGTTGTAAAAATCCCAGAGAAGACAGGACCTTTGTGTGTGGGTGGGAGTTGTTTCCATGGAGCTCAGCTCCGGGAGACACGGAGCCCCTGCTAGGGAATATGTGGCTGGCTGTGGTGTGATGAATTCGGGGGGTGAGGGCCTGCCTGCCTTTAGCTCAAGTTCTTAACAGTCGCTATGGTTTGTGCGGCATGTGTGATCCTGTCCCCACAGCCTGCTGGTGTGGGCACAGTTCTGCATGTCTCTCCTTCCGCTGTATCACTGCCAAGGGACAGGGAGTCCTAGGGGCTTGAGTGAGACTGTCCGTGGTCCAAGTTGGGGTGTGGTTGCTCCCTGCTGTGCCCGGCCCACTGAGTCTCCCTCAGAGGAAAAAGGCTTATCTCACCCAGGCACAGACCTGCTTTTGAATAGCCAAGCCCCTTAAGCCAGGTAACTGTTTTACAGCAGACTTCTGACCTGGTAATGGATACAGAATCTTAAGACTTGGAAGCACTGGAGCTGTCAACTTCCTTGCTCCAAATACTTCTCATTACCTCATCAACTTGCTCAGTGGATGGACTAAGAGTGTTCCCCCACTCTGCAACTGCCATACCTACTTTTCCCTTCCTGGACAATCAAAGTGTCTTCCTAAGGGACAAAATGTAGAGGCCATTCTGACTGGAGGTTTTCCTGGGGAAATAGGCTAAAGAAGGGCCACAGGAATTTGAGCCATCGGCATCTTACTCTGTTTCACAGCTCGCCTTCCCAGTCTGTCATGTTGGCTCCCTGGCAATTTCATGGGCAAGGGGGCGGGGAGGCTTTCACTCGATGTGCCTATGCATGACGGACTTACCAGGTCACCAGTGTAGCAGTTCAGGGCTCTGGAGTTGCATTCCTTGATCGGAACTGAAAGACCTCCCGCGATACCTGGCAGAGGCAGTGGCTCTTCCCTGTGGTCCAGGGCTGCGTGACTTTGAAGGTAATTTCAGTCAACCCAGCCTTTACTGGGCTCTGACTGCATTAGGCTGCATCAAAGGGGATTGGATCCCATGATTCTTTATATCTTCTGACATTAAGCCTTTGTCAGCTATAGGTGTTACAAATATCTTTAGTTTGTGGTTTATCTTTTCCCCTTTTTTATGGTGTCTTGAAGGATAGAAGTCTTTTTTTTTTTTTTTTTTTTTTTTATTGATCATTCTTGGGTGTTTCTCGCAGAGGGGGATTTGGCAGGGTCATAGGACAACAGTGGAGGGAAGGTCAGCAGATAAACAAGTGAACAAAGGTCTCTGGTTTTCCTAGGCAGAGGACCCTGCGGCCTTCCGCAGTGTTTGTGTCCCTGGGTACTTGAGATTAGGGAGTGGTGATGACTCTTAACGAGCATGCTGCCTTCAAGCATCTGTTTAACAAAGCACATCTTGCACCGCCCTTAATCCATTTAACCCTGAGTGGACACAGCACATGTTTCAGAGAGCACAGGGTTGGGGATAAGGTCACAGATCAACAGGATCCCAAGGCAGAAGAATTTTTCTTAGTACAGAACAAAATGAAAAGTCTCCCATGTCTACTTCTATCCACACAGACCCGGCAACCATCCGATTTCTCAATTTTTTCCCCACCCTTCCCGCCTTTCTATTCCACAAAACTGCCATTGTCATCATGGCCCATCCCCAATGAGCCGCTAGGCACACCTCCCAGACGGGGTCGTGGCCGGGCAGAGGGGCTCCTCACTTCCCAGTAGGGGCGGCCGGGCAGAAGCGCCCCCCACCTCCCGGATGGGGCGGCTGGCCGGGCAGAGGGGTCCTCACTTCCCAGTAGGGGCGGCCGGGCAGAGGCGCCCCTCACCTCCCGGATGGGGCGGCCGGCCGGGCGGGGGGCTGACCCCCCCACCTCCCTCCCGGACAGGGCGGCTGGCCGGAAGTCTTAATGCAGACAGCATTATCAGTGTGTTCAAAAGACACGTAGACACGTTTTGCCTATAGACAAATGGGCAAAAGGAAACCCAGCTTTCTCAAATGAAGCACAAGTGGGCCTTAATTATGTGAAAAGGTGTTCAAGTTCATCATTAAACAGGGAAAGGAAAAGTTAAAATCATGCTGAGATATCTTTCATAGAAATGGCAAAAAGCAGGAAGTGCCACGTGTGGGCAGAGAGGAAGCACAGGAACTCTCACAAATGGCAGGTGTCATCGTAGACCAACACAACCACTTTGGAGAGCAGTTTGACTTTCCCCAGTTAAACTGAACATGTGAGCGGCCGGGCGTGGTGGCTCATGCCTGTAATCCCAGCAGTTTGGGAGGCCGAGGCGGGCGGATTGCCTGAGCTCAGGAGTTCAAGACCAGCCAGGGCAACACGGTAAAACCCCGTCTCTACTAAAATACAAAAAATTAGCTGGGCGTGATGGTGTGTGCCTGTAATCCCAGCTACTTGTGAGGCCGAGGCAGGAGAATTGCTTGAACCAGGGAGCAGGAGGTTGCAGTGAGCCGAGATCGCACCACTGCACCCCAGCCTGGGCGACAGAGTCCCCCTCCCCCACCAAAAAAACAACAAGTGAGCATCCTGCAACCTAGCAATGCCATTGTTGAACAAGTTCAAAGATGTTCTTAGCCTTATTAGTCCCAAAAGGAAGAAAAAAATGGAGGATTTGAGAATGTTCTTAGCTTTATTGCTAAGCGGAGAAAGAAAAACAACACATACCAAAAAAAAAAAAAAAAAAAAAAAAAAAAAAAAAAAAAACCTGGGTGGGAAATTAGGGCCATGTGGCATGAAAAGGAAGACCCAGGGGAAGTGTGGCCCATCTAGGGGTGTGGCTACTGCAGTGATCCAGCTGTATCACTGAACTTCCCTGGCATCATAGAGTTATATTGTGCCATTTATGGAAAAACTCTCCCCACTGCTCTTGGCTTTGACAGTAGGAATCAGGTTATATATGGTCTCTCGGTTTGAAGATATTTGTCATTAAAAACCAGAACAAGGGCTCTGAGATAGGGTCCTTTCCTGACCTACTCTGGTAAAGTCTTTATCCTCAGGATGCAAGGATACCACCCTCTTCCTGTGGAAAGTGTCGAATCACATGCAGAGCTCTAAGTCTTTCAGTTACTTTGGAGTGCAGAACCATTTCAGGTAAGGCCAAATATTTTAAACATTAGTATAGGAAATTAGAGGGCTCTTTAGTCTGTGTGTGCATGAGAAGTAAAATTGCACGAGAAGCAATTTATGTAAAATTTCGCTTAGGAAACATTGTTTTGGCAGGTTAGTAGTATGGTGTGCATTTCCCAGAAAATTCAGTGCCGTGAGTATTACCTTTAGTTAAGCATCTTAGAAATAGTAGCTCTTTATGGCTAAGTCAGAAATACTACCCTCAAATTCTATGTGACCCTAGTTATACTGTTGAGCCTTTCTGTGCCTCTGTGCCTTCATCCTTGAATCGGGGATAATATACTTACCTCCTAAGGTTATTGTAAGGATTAAATGCATGTAGTATAAATAAAGAGCTGAGAACAATGCATGGCGTAAAGTGATAGGTATTATTATATGCTTTTGTTGGCTGTTGATTGAAGGTGTTCGCTGTTTTGGGGGTGTCCTTTAATAGAGTAACTTGGTACTGTGGAAATAGCATGATTGTGAGCAAAAGAATCAGATGGTGGTGGCTGCAGACTTTGCTGTTCCCTTCTTGACTGTTGGTTATAGCCAATGCAGGGTAAGTTATAAAGTCAAGAGCAGAGCCGTTTTCACAATGGACATTGCTTTGTGATGTCTGTGAGCTTGAATGTGAGAATGATTATTTTAATTCTCTATGTAAGGACTTTAAAGTATTGGCTATTCGGTAGCTTGAAAACTCTGTAATCTCAATGCTTTAAACTGAGAGTGGAAAATCAATAAAGCAAAAGCATGAGGCCACGCAGTGTAGAATGAGTGTCTTTTCACCACGTAGGGAAATCTGTAGTCCTAAGAAAAGAGGGAGTGAGAATTCTGGCGAAAGGATTGTGCCTCTGCACAAAGTGCAGGATCCCAGGGTTCAGTACAGGCGCGAACGCTCCTGTGTGTTGACCACACTCCCACGGTTGCTTTTTCAGACATGCTGAGGGGGACTCTACTGTGCGCGGTGCTCGGGCTTCTGCGCGCCCAGCCCTTCCCCTGTCCGCCAGCTTGCAAGTGTGTCTTCCGGGACGCCGCGCAGTGCTCGGGGGGCGACGTGGCGCGCATCTCCGCGCTAGGCCTGCCCACCAACCTCACGCACATCCTGCTCTTCGGAATGGGCCGCGGCGTCCTGCAGAGCCAGAGCTTCAGCGGCATGACCGTCCTGCAGCGCCTCATGATCTCCGACAGCCACATTTCCGCCGTTGCCCCCGGCACCTTCAGTGACCTGATAAAACTGAAAACCCTGAGGCTGTCGCGCAACAAAATCACGCATCTTCCAGGTGCGCTGCTGGATAAGATGGTGCTCCTGGAGCAGTTGTTTTTGGACCACAATGCGCTAAGGGGCATTGACCAAAACATGTTTCAGAAACTGGTTAACCTGCAGGAGCTCGCTCTGAACCAGAATCAGCTCGATTTCCTTCCTGCCAGTCTCTTCACGAATCTGGAGAACCTGAAGTTGTTGGATTTATCGGGAAACAACCTGACCCACCTGCCCAAGGGGTTGCTTGGAGCACAGGCTAAGCTCGAGAGACTTCTGCTCCACTCGAACCGCCTTGTGTCTCTGGATTCGGGGCTGTTGAACAGCCTGGGCGCCCTGACGGAGCTGCAGTTCCACCGAAATCACATCCGTTCCATCGCACCCGGGGCCTTCGACCGGCTCCCAAACCTCAGTTCTTTGACGCTTTCGAGAAACCACCTTGCGTTTCTCCCCTCTGCGCTCTTTCTTCATTCGCACAATCTGACTCTGTTGACTCTGTTCGAGAACCCGCTGGCAGAGCTCCCGGGGGTGCTCTTCGGGGAGATGGGGGGCCTGCAGGAGCTGTGGCTGAACCGCACCCAGCTGCGCACCCTGCCCGCCGCCGCCTTCCGCAACCTGAGCCGCCTGCGGTACTTAGGGGTGACTCTGAGCCCGCGGCTGAGCGCGCTTCCGCAGGGCGCCTTCCAGGGCCTTGGCGAGCTCCAGGTGCTCGCCCTGCACTCCAACGGCCTGACCGCCCTCCCCGACGGCTTGCTGCGCGGCCTCGGCAAGCTGCGCCAGGTGTCCCTGCGCCGCAACAGGCTGCGCGCCCTGCCCCGTGCCCTCTTCCGCAATCTCAGCAGCCTGGAGAGCGTCCAGCTCGACCACAACCAGCTGGAGACCCTGCCTGGCGACGTGTTTGGGGCTCTGCCCCGGCTGACGGAGGTCCTGTTGGGGCACAACTCCTGGCGCTGCGACTGTGGCCTGGGGCCCTTCCTGGGGTGGCTGCGGCAGCACCTAGGCCTCGTGGGCGGGGAAGAGCCCCCACGGTGCGCAGGCCCTGGGGCGCACGCCGGCCTGCCGCTCTGGGCCCTGCCGGGGGGTGACGCGGAGTGCCCGGGCCCCCGGGGCCCGCCTCCCCGCCCCGCTGCGGACAGCTCCTCGGAAGCCCCTGTCCACCCAGCCTTGGCTCCCAACAGCTCAGAACCCTGGGTGTGGGCCCAGCCGGTGACCACGGGCAAAGGTCAAGATCATAGTCCGTTCTGGGGGTTTTATTTTCTGCTTTTAGCTGTTCAGGCCATGATCACCGTGATCATCGTGTTTGCTATGATTAAAATTGGCCAACTCTTTCGAAAATTAATCAGAGAGAGAGCCCTTGGGTAAACCAATGGGAAAATCTTCTAATTACTTAGAACCTGACCAGATGTGGCTCGGAGGGGAATCCAGACCCGCTGCTGTCTTGCTCTCCCTCCCCTCCCCACTCCTCCTCTCTTCTTCCTCTTCTCTCTCACTGCCACGCCTTCCTTTCCCTCCTCCTCCCCCTCTCCGCTCTGTGCTCTTCATTCTCACAGGCCCGCAACCCCTCCTCTCTGTGTCCCCCGCCCGTTCCTGGAAACTGAGCTTGACGTTTGTAAACTGTGGTTGCCTGCCTTCCCCAGCTCCCACGCGGGTGTGCGCTGACACTGCCGGGGGCGCTGGACTGTGTTGGACCCATCCGTGCTCCGCTGTGCCTGGCTTGGCGTCTGGTGGAGAGAGGGGCCTCTTCAGTGTCTACTGAGTAAGGGGACAGCTCCAGGCCGGGGCCTGTCTCCTGCACAGAGTAAGCCGGTAAATGTTTGTGAAATCAATGCGTGGATAAAGGAACACATGCCATCCAAGTGATGATGGCTTTTCCTGGAGGGAAAGGATAGGCTGTTGCTCTATCTAATTTTTTGTTTTTGTTTTTGGACAGTCTAGCTCTGTGGCCCAGGCTGGCGTGCAGTGGGCCGTCTCAGTTCACTGCAGCCTCCGCCTCCCAGGTTCAAGTGATTCTCATGCCTCAGCGTTCTGAGTAGCTGGGATTAGAGGCGTGTGCCACTACACCCGGCTAATTTTTGTACTTTTTAAAGTAGAGACGGGGCTTTGCCATATTGGCCTGGCTGATCTCAAACTCCTGGTCTTGAACTCCTGGCCACAAGTGATCTGCCCGCCTTGGCCTCCCAAAGTGCTGGGATTACAGGCGTAAGCCACTACACCTGGCCCTCTTCATCGAATTTTATTTGAGAAGTAGAGCTCTTGCCATTTTTTCCCTTGCTCCATTTTTCTCACTTTATGTCTCTCTGACCTATGGGCTACTTGGGAGAGCACTGGACTCCATTCATGCATGAGCATTTTCAGGATAAGCGACTTCTGTGAGGCTGAGAGAGGAAGAAAACACGGAGCCTTCCCTCCAGGTGCCCAGTGTAGGTCCAGCGTGTTTCCTGAGCCTCCTGTGAGTTTCCACTTGCTTTACATCCATGCAACATGTCATTTTGAAACTGGATTGATTTGCATTTCCTGGAACTCTGCCACCTCATTTCACAAGCATTTATGGAGCAGTTAACATGTGACTGGTATTCATGAATATAATGATAAGCTTGATTCTAGTTCAGCTGCTGTCACAGTCTCATTTGTTCTTCCAACTGAAAGCCGTAAAACCTTTGTTGCTTTAATTGAATGTCTGTGCTTATGAGAGGCAGTGGTTAAAACAGGGGCTGGCGAGTTGACAACTGTGGGTTCAAATCCCAGCTCTACCACTTACTAACTGCATGGGACTTTGGGTAAGACACCTGCTTACATTCTCTAAGCCTTGGTTTCCTGAACCTTAAAACAGGATAACATAGTACCTGCTTCGTAGAGTTTTTGTGAGAATTAAAGGCAATAAAGCATATAATGACTTAGCCCAGCGGCCTGCAGGCAATACATGTTAATGAATGTTAGCTATTATTACTAAAGGATGAGCAATTATTATTGGCATCATGATTTCTAAAGAAGAGCTTTGAGTTGGTATTTTTCTCTGTGTATAAGGGTAAGTCCGAACTTTCTCAGACTGGAGGTTACATTCACATCAGTCTGTCTTCCCCTGCGGATGGCCTCAGCCCTGGGTGGCCAGACTCTGTGCTCACAATCCAGAGCAATGGATCCTCCAACACCACCAGGTGGATGTGGAGCAGGAGAGCTGGATCGTGGCATTTGTTTCTGGGTTCTGCAGCTGTGGGAGTTGGTTTCTGGGTTCTCCATTGGTCTACTTGTCTAGTCCCATACCAGACTCACGGTCTCCATTATTGGAGCTTTAATAATTTTTGGTATAGGGTCATCTCTCCACCTTGTTTTTCTTCTATTCTTGGTTCTTTGCAATTCTATGAATATTTCAGGGTCAGCATGTCAACTCCATTGAAAAACCCTGCTGGGATTTTAATAGAACTTACAGCTCACGCCTGTAATCTCAGCACTTTGGGAGGCTGAGGTGGGTGGATCACAAGGTCAGGAGTTTGAGACCAGCCTGGCCAAGATGGTAAAACCCCGTCTCTACTAAAAATACAAAAATTAGCTGGGTGCGGTGGCAGGTGCCTGTAATCCCAGCTACTTGGGACACTGAGGCAGGAGAATCACTTGAACCCGGGAGGCGGAGGTTGCAGTGAGCCGAGATCGTGCCACTGCACTCTAGCCTGGGCGACAGAGCGAGACTCCATCTCAAAAAAAAAAAAAAAAAATTGCAGTAAATTTAAAACTAATTTGGGGAAGAATCTGTATTTTTTACAATACCTAGTGTTCTTGCCAGTAAGCATGGTTCATCTTCCCATTTATTTACGTCATTTTAAATCTTTCAGTGATGTTTTAGAATTTTTTTTATAAAAACCTTCACTATAAGAACAGAAAACCAAACACCGCATGTTCTCACTCATAGGTGGGAATTGAACAATGAGAACACTTGGACACAGGGCGGGGAACGTCACACGCCTGGACTGTCGGGGGGTGGGGGGCTGGGAGAGGGATAGTGTTAGGAGAAATACCTAATGTAAATGACGAGTTAATGGGTGCAGCCAACCAACCTGGCACATGTATTCATATGTAACAAACCTGCACGTTGTGCACATGTACCCTAGAACTTAAAGTATATAAAAAAAAGAAACCTTGCACTGATTTTGTTAGATTTATTCCTAGGTATCCTTCCTCTTTTTTGATTTGTCATTGCTATTGTAGATGGCATCTTTTTAAAAAGTTATATTTTCTAAAGAAAAAAATAAAAAAAGTTGTATTTTCTAATTTTTATTACCAATATATAAGAATGTAATTTATTTTTACATAATTATCTTATGTCTAGTAATAATTCTGATAATTTGCTTCTTCCTATTAAAACCTTACACCCATTATTGATTTATTTTTCTGTTTTAAAATATCTTCCTGCACTGGCTAAAACCTCCACTATAATGTTGAGCAGAACAGTGAGCATCCTTAGAACTATCTTGGTTGCAAAGGGTAGGTCTCTAATGTTTCATCAATAAATGTGATGTTTCTAGTCTGAGTTTGCTAAGTATATTTTAAAATAATCAGTAAAGTTAGATTTTATCCATTTTTATCTTAACTATTGAGATGCTCATATCATTTTTCTTCTTCAATGTGTTAAAATGGTGAATAAATTTATAGATTTTGGAAAAGTAAATTCATTCTTGCATTCCCGAAGTAAACCAAGCCATGCTATGTGTATTTAAAATATATTGCTGAATTCAGCTTGCTGTTTTGTTTAGAACTTTTACTATCTGTTCATTAGTGAGATTTGCTTATACATTGAAAATAATATCCTTGACTGGTTTTGGTATCAGGTTATACAGCCTCATAAAGTGGGTGGGGACGTTCTCTCTGGAATGGTTCGTAAAAACTGGGATCATCTTTTCCTTGAACGTGTTGTAGAATCCCCTGGAAAACCTTCGTGGCCTGGTTTTATTGTATGTGTGTATTCGGTATTTATTGTTGCATAACCAGTACCCCAGATCTTGGTGGTTTAAAACAATAAAATACATTACGTCACAGTTTCTGAGGGTCAAGAATTTGGGAGTAGTTTAGTTGAGTGGCTGTGGCTCAGGGTCTGTCATGAGGTTGCCATCAAAATCTTGGCTGGGGCTCTAATCATCATGACTGCGGCTGGAGGATTTGCTTCCGACATATCCCGCTCACGCTGTTGGCAGTTCCCTGGTGGCTCACGGCAGGCAGCCTTGGGTCCTTGCCATATGGACCCCTTGAGTGTCCTCATGACATGGCAGCTGGCTTCCCCCTTTCGTTCTTCAAAGAATTGTGGGGTTTTTGGCTTTTTTTTTTATAAGATCTAAAAAAGAAAAAATTAACATTGATCTATATGTTGCTTGAGCTAGAAGGCATAGGAAAACAGACAACATATATCCATGAAATTTCTCCCAAATATGAGGTAAAAAGATGAAATCTTTAGATAAGTTGTAAGTCTGTACAAAGAAGCTAGATTTACTACTCTCTAAAAGGTGAAGGGACCTGCTATATAAAACACAGAAATAATTTAATGCTTTTCGTAAGAATATAACCTGAGCTTTGCTGAAGCTTCATATTCCCTGAGGATGTCTAAAATGCCAGTCCAGGCCAGGCATAGTGGCTCACGCTTGTAATCCCAGAACTTTGGGAGGCCAAGGCGGGTGGATTGCTTGAACCCAGGAGTTTGAGACCAGCCTGCGCAACATAGCCATATCCCCAGCTCTACAAAAAATACAAAGTTAGCTGGGCATGGTGGTGCGCTCCTGTAGTCCCAGCTACTTGGGAGGCTGAGGCAGGAGGATTGTTTGAGTTCGGGATGTTGAGGCTGCAGTGAGCCGTGATCATGCCACTGCACACCAACCTGGGTGACAGAGTGAGACTCCATCTCTTAATAAATTAAAAAATAAAATAAGATTTGATTTAAAAACTTTTAATAGTTTAATTTACTGATATTATACATTTCTGCTCATATGTTAGATTGAATTGTATTACATTTTTTATGTTCAACCATTTTTGACCTAAAAAACAAGTTTCTTGGGAAGCCGAGGCAGGCGGATCACTCAGAAGTTCAAGACCAGCCTGGCCAGCATAGTGAAACCCTGTCTCTACTAAAAATAAAAAAAATGAGCTGGGCATGGTGGTGCACGCCTGTAGTCCCAGCTACTCGGGAGGCTGGGGCAGGAGAATTGCTTGAACCCAGGAGGTGGAGGTTGCAGTGAGCCGACACCACGCCACTGCACTCCAGCCTGGGCGACAGAGCGAGACTGTGTCTCAAAAACAACAACAACAACAAAAAACAAGTTTCATGTGATTTAACTTAAAAGTTCTGGCACTATATGTAGTTCTTCCAGTGATTACATTTGTAACTTTAAAGTTCACCTTTTTCTTGTTCCAGCAACTGCAGACGGTCTCTATGAATGCCTTGTTCTGTGCACTGACATCTATATTCCTATTTGTCCCATGCTCATCTATCTCTTCCACCTCCCAGTTTCAGTCAAGACTGATCACTTTTGTATTCTCTTATAGCTAAAATTTTGGTGACTGTGGAAAAACTTGAAAATGAATAAAAAAGACTTCATATGTTTTCTTTGTAAATATTATTTACTATAGTGCCAAATAGTCCACTGTCATTACGTTTCCTTTCTAGCACTTCCTTCATTTTTCTAGCATTTCTAGAAACCACTCTGGCCGCCTATCCGGCTGTTTCCTAGAACTGATCTTCAGCTTTCCTTGGTTGCTTCCACAATTTCCCAAATTCCATGTCTTCTTTCTTTTCTACTCCCTCATTTTACAACTACTTAGGAAAAGGGATCCAAAGGATATCCCCTTTCCTGAGTCCTTGCCAGCAAATTTCTATATTCTTTATTCTCTCATACTTGATGGCTAGTTTAGCTGGGAAGAGAATTCTAAATTCAAATGATCATCTTGCACCAAGGGTGCTGGTGGGAATTTGTTGTCATTGTTAACAGGGGACCTCTCTTTTTCTTGGCAGCCATCCTTAGGATCTTCTCTATGTCCTCTGTTCTGATTTTGATTTGATGTTTGCCATACATTGTTCTTTATTTCATTCACACAAAGGGGCATTTGCAGGGTCCTCTGGAGACTCATGTCTTTTAACTTTTGTGAGATTCTGTTATACTTTTTTGGATAATTCCTTTGTCCTCTCCTTTCATCTGTTTTTGCTTTTTCTATTCTTCATCTTTTTAGTCTCTTTTTTCTACCTTCTTTTTCTACCTTCTGAGAGACTCCTCAACTCCATCCAACACTTAACGCAAAAATGTTAATTTCTGCAATTGTATTTTTAACTTCTGCAATCACTGTTAATTTTTAAAAATAGACTCATTCTTGTCTTATGGATGCAGTTTGTTTTTTTTTTTAAGAATACTAGAGTTTAAGATTTTTGAGTTTTCAAAGTTCCCCTTTCTAAACTACATCTTTTTTCTCTGGTATTTCATTTTGTTGTTGTTGTTGTTTGCTTGCTTGCTTCTCTTAAACCCTTGGTTGTTGGTTCATATTTTTAAAGTAAGGCAATAAAAATAACTGACTTTGGGATCTTTGTGCACACTGGCAGAGGTTATCAACTTCATTCTAGGGTATGGGGGAGCAAGCTGAGTGTTACACTGGGAACTTCTACAAGCCAGAATGTTTGCAGAGGGTTATTTCTCTAGGATCTTGCAATTTCTTTAATTAACTTTTTGTTTGTTTGTTTTCCTAAGGATGGGAACAGACACAACCGTGCCTTATACTATAATAGCTTTTAAACAACTCCCTAGCTTTTATTCCCACAGATCATGCCTTTTCTACATCATAACCGGTGTAATCCATCTTCACACCTCTCTGGGGTTCCATTGAGTAGACGGGATCTCTCTGCTCACACTGGCTGTGGCTTTCTCTTCCTCATCTATTACTCCTTAACTGCTCTGTTCTGTAAACTTGCTGAACTCTCCAGTCCATTGCTGATCCTCTCCCATTCCCTGTGACATTGTGGGCTAATACCATTTCAATTTCTTTTACTGCCATCTAAGTGAGGTCTTTGGAGGGAGAAGAGCTAACTGGGTTTCATCAGTTTGTTTGTTTTTAACTGAAAGTCCAACTATTTCTGTTCTCTGAGTTTCCAGCTCTAGAAGTTTCCTTGACTTCTCTTGGGCAGAGTTGGGTCCTCCTTGTCCTGGTTTCCTCCTCACTTTGTCTCCTCCCTCTCCCCCACTGCATGTTGTCATTGACTTCACTTTCTGAGACCATCACAAAAGTTGGGCTTTGGATCTCTGGTGACATCGGAAGTGATGGAGTCTGTTTTGGGAGAAGTCAATCTGGGCTTCCCAGCTTTTAAACAATCACCATTGCTACAGGGCGTGCCAAAGGCAGGGCGATGCCAGGACTCACTGCCCAGTAGCTGTGCACACCCTCATTAGACACCTGGAATGTTACAGGATGATTCCATCAACATCGTAAAGAGACAAACATTCATTGAGTTCAGTGGGCGGGTCCAGGGTACTGGAGGCTGAGGCCTAGAGGAAGAAGACAATGAGCAACATCTGCCCCTGACGCCCGCCCGCCTTCCACCTCCCTGTCGATGCTTCCAGGTGCTCCCTGGCTTTGATGACCCCAGCATGGATCTTTCCAAGTCCAGGCTCTGGGGGTTAGGGGAGGCTCTGTGTTTCAGCTGCTGCCACACTCAATGAAACCTTTGTTTTTATTAGATTTTATTTATTTATTTATTTTTTTCAGACACAGTCTCCCTCTGTCGCCAGGCTGGAGTGTAGTGGCGCGATCTCCACTCACTGCAACCTCCACCTCCCGGGTTCACGCCATTCTTCTGCCTCAGCCTCCGGAGTAGCTGGGACTACAGGTGCCTGCCACCACACCTGACTAATGTTTGTATTTTTAGTAGAGATGGGGTTTCACCATGATGGCCAGGATGGTCTCGATCTCTTGACCTCGTGATCTGCCCGCCTCGGCCTCCCAAAGTGCTGTGATTACAGGTGTGAGCCACCATGCCTGGCCAATTTTTACTTTTATTATTTCGTTTTATTTTATTTAATGAGACAGGGTCTTGCTCTGTGGCCCAGGCTGGAGTGGAGTGGTGCCATCTTGGCTCACTGCAACCTCCGCCTCTTGGGTTCAGGTGGTTCTCATACCTCAGCCTCCCGAGTAGCTGGGATTACAGGTATGTGCCACTACGCCTGGCTAATTTTCGTATTTTTAGTAGAGACGGGGTTTTGCTATGTTGGCCAGGCTGGTCTCAAACTCCTGATTTCAGGTGATCTGCCTGGCTCGACCAAGTGCTGGGATTATAGGCGTGAGCCACCACAGCCAGCTGTTTTTATTTTTTGAGACAAGGCTGTACCTCCCAGGCTGGAATGCAGTGGTGTGATCACATCTCATTACAGCCTCAACCTCCTGGGTTGAAGCACTCCTCCCACCTCAGCCTCCGGAGTAGCTAGGAATACAGGCATGTACCACTACATGCAGCTATTTTTTTTTATTTTTTGTAGAGATGGGGTCTCCCCATGTTGCTCAGGCTGGTCTCAAACTCCTGGGCTCAAGAAATCTGCCCGCCTTGGCCTCCCAAAATGCTGAGATTACAGGTGTGAGCCACCACACCCGGCCATGAACCTTTATTAAACACCTAATATATACCTGGCATCACGAAGTCAGTTTTCTTAACCTTCCAACCCCTGTGGGAGGTAGGTATTATTATTTCACTTTACAGATGACAACACTGAGGTCCACGACGGGGCACTGACACATCTGAGCTGGCAGACCTGTCACATGAGCTCGTCTCCTGCCATCTGGCCTAGAGCTACTCACCCCTGCCCTCACTGCCCACTGCTTCTCCTGGCATGGACTGGATCAGCTGCCAACCCAGGCCCTGCTGGCCAGGGGGATGCAAGTGCCAGGAGGACACTCACTTTCGTGGTCATAGACCATTGCGAACTTACAGGGGTTCTAGTCCTCTAAGCCTAGTGAGGGCTCCCTGAGAATTAAGCATTATTTTTGGAGGTCTTGGATGATGAGATGGAGAAAAGCAGTGGGAATAAAAAGGAATGTGGGAGAAAAATGAGTGGAGAGAGAAACAGATGGGATAGAAGGAAGTGAGAGAAAGGAGATAGAAATGCAGGTGCAAGCCATGACTGACAGTCACTGCAGGCCCAGCCTGGACACAACAGGAGCCATCCGGAGCCCACAGGAGGCATCCTTGTGTGCTGGGAACTGCAGAATTGGTCTCAGCTCTGCCACTGACTCAGTTTCCCCATTCACACCAGGGTGTTCTGAGGGCCAAAGAAGGCAATCGATGTAAAAGTGCATTGTAAACTGGAGGTGCGCCTGAGTGGAGAGGCTTTCCTGGCACTGGTACACCAGGAAGGCAGGGGTCTGCCCCATTGGCTACACCCCGGAGCAGAACCCAGAACACTCCTGCGCAGCATGAAGGACACCCAGGAATGAGGAGGCTAACAGAGATGCAGAGAGCTAGCAGGGGTGCAGGAGGCCTTCCAGGCAAGCCTTCCCTCACAGGCCCCACAGCCCAGAGCTCCCATACCCTCCATCTGACCTCCACTGCAGGGCCTACCTGAGGCTGGCCAGCACCCCAGCTTGCTCTCAGGACGAAGGCAAGAGGGTTGCGCCTCCTCCTCAGCTCTAAGCCCCTAGCAGTTTATGTTCCCAATGACATCAAAAGAGAAATGGAAAATGTCAGGGTTTCTAAGGTTTTGTCCCTTCAAGCTCAAGTTCAAATTCATTCTCAGTTCAAATTATTTTGAGTTGATTTGTAGCAAAGGAGTAGAGGAGATGGCGTCTGAAATTCCGCAGAGCACCCAGCTTTGAGAATGGTATTGCTCTGCTAAGTCATTGACCTGGCCACCTGCCCAGGTGCATTTAAGAAGAACACAATCTCTCCAAGGATGAGCCTCAGAGAACCTCCTGGATATACCAGACCCCCTGCATACCATGATCCTCCCACTGCACAGTACTTCACCGTGGTCCAGCTAAGTCACTCCTGGGCATTGTGAGGTCTACTAACATTTCCGGTGATTGTGAAAACATCAGGGCTCAATTTAAGGAAGATCGTCCGTTCAGAGCTGTCAACAGGACTGAATAGAGAAGATGGGTTTCTAGGAAAGTCGTGAGCCTCTCAGCGCTAGAGGCAATCAGGCAGATGCTGGCTCTTTGTGGAAAAGTAAACAAAGAAAAGCAAACAATCAAAAAAAGGACAAACACGAGCCATGCTTTCTTGTCTTGATGCTTTGGGCAAGTGTATTCTTCTTTATAAATCTCCTTTTCCTTTTTCTTTCTGCATAAACCTCCTGCAGAGCCTTTAGAGGGTCCTTTCAAATGTGGTCTTTCCCACAGCCCGAGTTAGTTGTTCCCTGGGTGAGCAGAATAATGGCCGCCCAAAATGTCCCCTTTCGAATCTCAGAGAACCTGTGAATATGTTACCTCAGATGGCAAAAGAGGCTTCGTTAGGAGTGATTAGGTGAGGGATCTTGAGACATAAGCTGATCCTAGATGATCCCTCAGGTCCTCGTAAGGGACAGAAGGAGGCAGGAGGGGGGAGTCAGAGAGATTTGAAGACGGGACGCTGCTGGCTGTGAGGTGAGAAAAGGGGCCTGTGAGCTAAGGGGTGTGGGCAGATTCCAGAAGCTGGAAAAGGCAAGGAAGGTGTTCACCCTGGAGCCTCCGGCAGGAATGCAGCCCTGCTGACAGCTTGACGTTAGCCCGGTGACGTCTGTTTCGGGTTTGTGATCCCTCGTTTCGGCCACGATAGGAAGTGAACCTTCGCGATGTTGGTGTCTGCATCCCAGCCTCTAGCACATTTCACTGTAATTCTCTATGCGCTGATTTCCTAACTGGGCTCCTTGGGGTAAGAGCTATGTATTAATTAGTTTTTCTCCCATGGCGCTGGCACAGAACTGGGCACGTAGGAGGTGCTCGGGGTGAACTCTCCCCTGACTGGCCCAACATGTCACGCATGAGCCGGCATCCAGACAAGGACCTGGCCCAGGGTCCCTTCAACACCTGCTGTGGTACTGGGGCACATCCCCCTTTTGACTCCACTACTCTTAAGAGAGCTCAATATTCTTCTTTCTTATTATAAAGGTGTTCGAAAATCAGGATTTGTCACACATATTTAATTCTTATGAGCCACAGGTGTTCATAATTTTTTGCCTCTGAGCAAGCGTGGCTTTCCTGTCTGGGTCCTTGAAGCTTGGGTCAGGGAGTCAAGACATGGGCTAACAGGAAGGAGAAGGGGTGTGTAGAGAAGCCACCTTCTTAAGTCCCTAGAGCAGGGAGGATTTAAAACACTGCCTTGGCGGGGCGCAGTGGCTCATGCCTCTAATCCCAGCACTTTGGGAGGCCGAGGCGGGCAGATCACCTGAGGTCAGGAGTTTGAGACCAGCCTGGCCAACATGGCGAAACCCTATCTCTACTAAAAATACAAAAATTAGCCAGGTGTGGTGGCCCATGCATGTGGTGCCAGCTACTCAGGAGGATGAGGCAGGAGAATTGCTTGAACCCAGGAGGTGGGGGTTGCAGTGAGCCAAGATCATGCCACTGCACTCCATACTGAGTGACAGAGTGAGACTCCATCTTAAAAAATAAAAAATAAAATAAAATAAAATAAAATACTGCCTTCAACCCAAATGTTCTGTTCAATCCTGGGAGCCGCCATTAAGCAAGCAGAGAGAGTTTAGTAGAAAATAACTAGGGTAGAGTGCAGAAAGAGAGGTGCTGGGGTGAAGAACTGGAACCCAGCCACATGGAAACTGGATAAAAGAGCCAGGGGTGTTCAGCCTGAAGAAGAGAGGATTCAGGGTTGCTGGTTACAGGGTTGAACCAGTTAAAGGGGTGATACAAGGAAGAGGGAGGAGACTTGTCCTATGTGGTTTCAAAGGACAAAATGAGGACAAATTGGTAGGAAATACAGGGGGTTAGATTTTGTCTGCGTCCAAGGAAGACCTTGGTCAGCACCCTCCAGGGCCGGAGTGGTCACCATGTGCGCCATGAGCTCCCACCCGGGGAGGAGCTCAGGCCGAGACCCAGCAACCACAGCCAGAAGGATTTCCAGCATTTGATGGAGACAGGCATGAGGCTGGGAAATGCTCCTTCTACCTCACACGGTCTGCGGTCGGCCACCCCTGCCCTGGATTGCGCTGGGTGGGTGTGGGTGTAACCTGCTGCCCAGGCAGTGGTCACTTGAGACATTGGCCTTGGACTTGCGGAGCTGAGCTGCACTGGGAGGAAGAGCCATCTGCAGGCGTTGAGTTGGCTTGGGTGCTTAATGCCCTGGGATCAGTCCATGTCCTCAAACAAACATGTAACACCAGCCGTCCTAACAGCAGGCTCCTTGCGGCTTGCTCTTCCAGGGAAGGGGCCTCTCCCTGGCCCACAGATGCTTCTTCGGGTTTTATTTTCCCAGTTAGTTGTCTTTGGAAAAGCTCGGTTATAGTTTCACTAATAGTCCTTACAGGAGGGCTGGTCCCTGCCCACCTGAGGGGTCCCAAGTGTGTGTCTGGTCCACCGCTTCCTTCCTCTTCCTCTGGACACCCACACCTCCCCCTGCCCAGGGCATCCCCTCCGGGCCTCTGACCTCTCCCTCCTTCCTGCCCTTCCTTTATTGCAACTTGACTCTCCCGCGTCCATTCCTTCCCTGTGAGGTGGCCCATTGGAGGGCCCTGTGAGGTGACTCTCCTCTGAGAGGTTGATAATGCTGTGTCAGGTCACCTGGTCCTCCACAGTGGAGAAGGGGGGACCTCACAGATCACACTGGCCATATTCAGGCTTCAGATACGGGATTAGGGAAGATGGAAAAGTGGGGGGCATTTCGAGATGCAAATCCTGTCATGTTTGAAAGCGGGGTTCAGATCATCCCTCTGCCAATCCTGCCATGTTTGAAAGCGGGGTTCAGATCATCCCTCTGCTACTGACCAGCTGTGTGACTTTGAGGGAGTCCTTTCCCGTCTTGGGCCTTAGTGTCCCCATCTAAAATGAGGGACTGGACCAGAGGGCCCTTCCCACTCTGATGCTCCGATGCCCAGAGTTGAGTCTCTCCCTACTCCTCACTTTCCTTCCCTGTTCAGTCTGCCTCCATCCTTTCAAAGACACACCTCATTTGTCACCTGTCCCTTTGCCCTCCCCCAGGCTGCACCTTAATGGCTAGTCCTGCTAATCTCCCTCCGAACACTCAAGCAGCTGCAGAAAGGGCCCTTTCCCAGAGCAGGTGGAAGAGGGTGCAAGTGCCCGCCCCGGCATCCCTGTCCCCGTGAGCATCCCTACTGCCCTCACCACATTTTGCAGAAATGCACCTTGGCTGTTGTCCTCACGGCTCTGTTGGAGGAGCTCTGACCTCAGGTACAATAGCACCTGTTGACCTAATGTGTAACCCTAAATGCTACAGGGAGAGACCAAGTCCTGGGATAGCCTGCCTCGCAGTGCCTTATGGGTGCCCAGCGGGCCTTCCTCACGCAGAGCTTTACAAGTCACAAAGCACTTTCTCACTGTGATTGTTCCAAGAGCGCCTAATCCAAGCCATCCACAGGGGCAAGAGTAAGGTTGCAACAACCCAGGGACCTCCCATTGTTGTGCTAGGAAAAGTGAGATTCCGTGAGGAGGTGCCAGATAATGCGCCTTCCCTGTGCGGGCAAGAATGTGGCGCTCACAAAGCTGGGGAGACAGGATGAATGAGGACCCCCCAGTTGCTCCTCACAGCTTGACCCCGGCCAAGTTTTCTCTAAAGTCAGTTCCCTCAACTGCAAAAAAAAAAAAAAAAAAAGCAAAAAGGTTCCTTTCCAGGCCATGGACATCCATGTGCCCCTACGACGGCGCCGTGAACTCAAGGACCTTCTCTGCTTCCCCGGGGCCCCTGGACCACTCGGCTCTTGGGTTTCCCTGAGGCTGTGGCAGCAGGGAGACCAGAGCCATCTGGGCAGCTCAGGGACTGGGTGTGAGAGCCAGTGAAGCAACAGATGCCCCTGCCTGGGTTGCTCCCCGGACCTCCCTTACCGAGGAGGGGCCTGCGGGAGAAGTGGGGCTCATCACAGGAAACCAGGCCACACAGCTTCCTGAGGGCATCCCCCTCCTCAACAGAGCCTAGCCCTTTGGACTCAGTTTATAGACTGCATTATAGGAAGTCACTTAAATACCCAGCTGGAAACCCATCTGCCTCTTCCTTTCTTCCTGAGGAATTCCTGATTTTGCTCAGATTAACCAAGTGTTTCCTTTGTTGGGCATTGAAAGGCTCTCTCTTCTTAGGCGGCGTGATTTCATCAGAAGAGGTCGACTCCAGTGTGGTGAGTCTGTGTTTTCTGGAGAGGGGAAGCCCTGCACCTCAACGCTTGGCCAAAAGGTCAGGGTCGGACTCACGGCCACCTGATGTTTAAAAGCTCAGGTGCGACGAAATACTATTCAGGGAGAGATCCTGGAAGGAGACACGCAGTTCATCCACTCCTCCCGATGGCCTCAAATACGTCCTCAACCAAGCTGGACATGAGGGGCTGGGGTCACGTGGTGGATAAAATCTGAGACGACCCCGTGGCACTCCCGGCTCTGTTGTTAGGAGGCCTGTTGCCGGGGACGTTTGGACCAAGTGACAAAGCGTCCACTGTGCAAGGACCCTGAGGAGAATTGCTCATCTGGCCCCGGCCCAGGGTACCCTACTCCTTTCCAGCCCCTCACCCCTGCATCTGGCCCCAGCCCAGGGTTACCCCACCCCTCTCCAGCCCCTCACCCCTGCATCTGGCCCGGGCCCAGGGTACCCCACCCCTCTCCAGCCCCTCACCCCTGCATCTGGCCCGGGCCCAGGGTACCCCACCCCTCTCCAGCCCCTCACCCCTGCATCTGGCCTGGGCCCAGGGTACCCCACCCCTCTCCAGCCCCTCACCCCTGCATCTGGCCCGGGCCCAGGGTACCCCACCCTTCTCCAGCCCCTCACCCCTGCGTCTGGCCCGGGCCCAGGGTACCCCACCCCTCTCCAGCCCCTCACCCCTGCGTCTGGCCATGCAAATGGTTGGGATCTCCTTTTCCCCACTGCACTGCCTGCTGGGAAGCTTAGAGGCCAAGGCATGGTCTACTTTGGTGAGTTCCCCTCCCCATCCCTCCGTCTCTGGCTGTCTCACCTTGGTCTCTCCTGCAGGCTCAACCTCTTCTCCCAGCCTTTAAACGCTGAGAGCCCCGAAGCCTCTGCCCCGCCCTCCTTCTGAATCTCTGCTCGCCTGGGCAGTTTCCCACTGGCCATGGCTTCAGTTGCCTTCTGGATCAGCATCCTGATTGGCTGCGAGGAACAGACTCTCTGCAGAGGCTGGCGTAGCCCAGTCGGGGATGGCTGTGCTCATGTGCCTCCCCAGGAGCGAGCGACCGCAGAGGCAGACCCTCCAGGGCGGTGCAGCACCTCCACGGCGTCGTCTACCATCTGTGGCCTGTGGCATTTGTCCCCACGGCTGCAGCTCCTCCCACCTCTGCATTCCAGGCAGGGAGAAGAGTCGGGCAAAACTGTATGCCAGCCAAGTCTATCCCTTTAAAAAAATAATAAGTGGATATTTGTATTGCCCAGCATCCATACAGACAAGTGCATAAATCACGTGTGCCGCTGGCTGCAGGATTTTAGTCTCTCACTTTTGTCTTTCTTCCTTCTTTGCTTCTTACTTTATTTATTTATTTATGTATGTATTTATTTATGTATTTTTGAGACGGAGTCTTGCTGTGTCGCCCAGGCTGGAGTGCAGTGGCATGATCTCTGGCTCACTGCAACTTCCACCTCCCGGGTTCAAGCAATTCTCCTCCCTCAGCCTCCAGAGTAGCTGGGACTACAGGTGCGTGCCACCATATCAAGCTAATTTTTGTATTTTCATTAGAGATGGGGTTTCACCACGTTGGTCAGGCCTGTTGTCTCGAACTCCTGACCTCAAGTGATCCACCTGGGTGAGCCTCCCAAAGTGTTGGGATTACAGGCGTGAGCTACTGTGCCCGGCCGCTTCCTACTTTTAATTTATGCTATCTTGTTATTATTATTATTTAAATTGCCTCAAATCCTTTCTGCGGCCAGGAGGGGTAAGAATAAATTCACTAATAGATGAACGAGTGGATAGGTGGATCCATTGTACTCTGACATGACCAGGAAGCTGATTCAGACAGTCCCCAGACCTGAGGACCACAGCTCCGTTCCAGACAGGAGGAAAGGCCTCCACGGAGGGATGGGATGGGCTGGTCAGAGCAGAGTAAGTCTGGGGGATCGTCCACATCAGCCTGGACAGCACCTCGCACCTCTTCATCACCTGTCATCAGGTCTGCATCCACACTGCCAACCACTTGTTCATTCCACCTGCTCACTTTTAAGAAGCACAGTCATGATGCTCCTGTCTTCAGAGTCCTCTGCTGTGAGGAGCAAGCTCGTCATTTTCCTTAATTTGCTAGGAAGGAAATGGCTCATGCTGGGGAGAACAAGGTCTGTCATTCCAAGGACTCAGGTGGCGGCTCTGACAGTGGAACGGAGGCTCATTAGCATTAGTTGAACGGCTGTCTGGGCTGGGCACATTAATACTATATTGCCATGCGTGTGGCGGGCAGTGCAGCAAGAGGCTCTGAAATGAGCCAAGGAGGATGCAAGCATGAACTGGGAACAAGTATTGCCTGGCTGTCTCCTTTCCTCACGTCCTCTCTTCTCTCCTTCCTTCTTTCCCTTCTGCCTCCTTCTTGTCCTTCTTTACCAGATTAAATGGGGTAAAAAGATATAATTTCTTTCATAGACTGATAGGCTGCCGTAAGTGGTTATCTCATGTGACGTCCCCACTGTCTGGATGGGACACTGATTCCCAAAGGCAGAAGTGACTTGCTAAGGTCCATGTTCTGGGTTTCTAGCCTTCCATGTCTTTCTTGAACCTGTTCATCGGCCTAATGGCATTTCTCTGTTCCTTCTTGGATTGCTCCCTGAGAGGAATTTGGGATGGGGGAGGTGATGAGGAAGGTGAGTTTCTCAATGAGGTGGAGGAATGGGGCTCCCTGGATTGAGTCCACGTGCCCCTGTGTTTCTGTGTAACCTCCAGTCACGCAGGGCATTCAAAACAGAGCTGTTCCTTCATGTACTAATCAAGGAAAACACAATTGCT
Source organism: Homo sapiens (assembly GCF_000001405.40). NCBI lineage: Eukaryota > Metazoa > Chordata > Mammalia > Primates > Hominidae > Homo > Homo sapiens. Next base: position 194,379,866 of record NC_000003.12, on the reverse strand, counting down.
CTTACAGCCGCCGACCTTTAATTACACGCGGTGACGCGCTGGCAGCTGCTCCAGCCATGAGGACTATGAGGTTGTTAGTTTTATCATTTCAAAGGCTAGTCTGCTTTATTGTGGCATAAAATTTGGAAGTCTCATATTAAAATATACAATTAAATGCGACTTGAATAAATTGCTTTAGGCCAAAGAGAACTTTTCCCTTCTGCTTCCTGCACCCAGCCCTGTCCCCCTGCCACCTCTACCTGTTAACTGCCTGCTTTCAAACTCTCTGAACCTCTCTGAAAGGGAGGAATGAGAGGGTTCTTTGAAAAACAGCCTTGGAAAGACATGTGGCAAGCTTACGGGTTGGGCTCAGGCTGTCCTGGAGGCTGGATTGAGCCCGCGTACCCCTGTGTTTCTGTGTAACCTTCAGTCAGGCAGAACATTCATATCCGAGCTTTGAATGAGAAAATGAGAAGCATAGGCAGTTTCTCAGGTCTGTGGGGCCAGGTGGGCTGGTCTCTTTTTTCTTTTTTGAGACGGGTCTTGCTCTTTCACCCAGGCTGGAGTGTAGTGGTGTGATCTTGGCTCACTGCAACCTCCGACTCCCAGGTTCAAGTGATTCTCCTACCTCAGCCTCCCAAATAGCTGGGACTATACGTGTGTGCCACCACATCTGGCTAATTTTTGTATTTTTAGAAGAGAAGGTGTTTCAGCATGTTGGCCAGGCTAGTCTCAAACTCCTGACCTCAGGTGATCCACCCACTTTGGCCTCCCAAAATGCTGGGATTACAGGGGTGAGCCACAGCCCCCAGCTCTGGTCTCTTGATAAAATAAACGAACCCCTCGCACTCACTCCCCTTGCTGATTCCCAGTCAGCCGTAGAAAGAAGTCCACGTGGCTCACCCAGCATGCGAGAGCCTGGTGATCAGCTACCTGCGAAAGCTCAGTCTCCCACCATAGCCTCCCTTCCTGCCTCCAGGCCTTTGCTCAGCCCTGCTCTGCAGCTGGATGGGCCACCCACTTCCTCGGCCCTTTCAGAATCCCATTCACCCTCCAAAGCTCTGCACCTACCCCCTGAACCTCTCCTTAATCAATCCTGGTGGGCAAATCTTTCCCTCCTTTGGTGCTTCAGGACACGTTGCTTAACTCTATGTTTAATTTTTCGAGGACAGATTTTACTTTGGGGTGCTTTATGCTCATTGTGTGTCTTGGGACCCCATGACTGGGCTCTGGGGGAGGAGGCCGAAGCTGGTTCCTGTTGTCTCTGCAGACCTCGAGCGGAGTGCCCACCTGGAGTCCAGCCAATGGCCACCAAGATCTGCTGGGACTTTGCTCCCTCTAGACTATGAGTCTAGCCCCTCCCTGGGGTCCTACCAGCATGGCTGACCTGGGAAAGAGCACATCGCTAGGGGGCTAATTCCAGGCAGTGGAGGCTCCTCTTGAGAGACACTGCAGGGTCTGGCATGGAGGATGAGGTTTTTAAATTGGAAAGAATTCGGCCGGGTGTGGTGGCTCACCCCCGTAATCCCAGCACTTTGGGAGGCCGAGGTGGGCAGAACACTTGAGGTCAGGAGTTCGAGACCAGTCTGGCCAACATGGTGAAATGCTGTCTCTACTAAAAATACAAAAATTAGCCAGGCATGGTGGTGGGTGCCTGTAATCTCAGCTACTTGGGAAGCTGAGGCAGGAGAATCGCTTGAACCTGGGAGACAGAGGTTGCAGTGAACTGAGATCGCGCCACTGCACTCCAGACTAGGCAACAAGAGCAAAACTCTGTCTCAAAAATAAAATAAAATAAAATAAAATAAAATAAAATAAAATAAAATAAAATAAAATAAAATAAAATAAGAGAGACTCCAAGGAATGTTTTTTCCATTATAAAACTCATCAGCTACAGAAAAATGTGAAAAAAAGACAAAATTATAGAGGAAGGAAGGAAAGATGGCTCATATTCCTGTCACCTCAGCACATGCCTGTGGGGTGAGGGGAGCTGAGTTCATCCCAGAGCAGTGAGGTGAGCTCTATGACCGGTTCCTGCCCACACTGAACCAGGGACCAGCTTGCTTAGATTGGGTTTCTGTAGTCTTTTAAAAAAATACCTAATGTTTTCAGAAAGGACTAATTTTTAATGTCATAGAACATTTCACCAGCAAAATGGTGGTCCTCAACTTTCTCCAGCATGATTTCATTTGATGCTTGATTTGTGTGTGTGTGGTAAAATCTACATAACATAAAATGTATCAATTTTTCCAAATTTTTATTGTGGCAAAATACACATCAAATTTCCTTTTTTTTTTCTTTTTAGACAGAGTCTTGCTCTGTCAGCCAGGCTGGAGTGCAGTGGCACGATCTCAGCTCACTGCAGTCTCCGCCTCCTGGGCTCAAGTAATTCTCCTGCCTTAGCCTCCTGAGTAGCTGGGATTATAGGCGTGTGCCACCAGTCCCGGCTAATTTTTGTATTTTTAGTAGAGACAGGGTTTCACCATGTTGCCAGGCTGGTCTCGAACTCCTGACCTCAGGTAATCTTCCTGCCTCGGCCTCCCAAAGTGCTGGGATTACAGGCATGGGCCACCGCGCCCAGCCAAATTTACTATTTTAATCATTTTCAGTGCACAGTTCCGTGGCATTAGTACAGTCATATTTTTGTGCAACCATCACCATCCATCTTCAAAGATTTTTTTATCTTTCCAAACTGAAACTCTGTCCCTAATTAAAAACTAACTCCCCATCCCCCACTCCTCTCCCAGCTCCTGAAAACCACCATTCTAGTTTCTGCCTCACTATTTTATATACTTCTTATCAAAGGAATCATAAAGTGTTTGTCCTTTTGTGGCTCTCTTATTTCACTTAGCACAATGTCTAAGGAAGAATTTTCTTCCTTTTTATTTTTTTTTTTGAGACAGGGTCTCACTCTGTCACCCAGGCTGGAGTGCAGTGGTGTGATCTTGGCTCACTGCAACCGTCCACCTCCCGGGTTCAAGCGATTCTCGTGCCTCAGCCTCCCGAGTAGCTGGGACTACAGGCGCCTGCCGCCACACCCGGCTCATGTTTTTGTATTTTTAGTAGAATCAGGGTTTCACCATCTTGGCCAGGCTGGTCTCGATCTCCTGACCTCAGGTGATCCGCCCACTTTGGCCTCCCAAAGTGCTGGGATTGCAGGTGTGAGCCACCGCGCCCGGCCTTTCCTTCTTTGTAAAAGTTGGATAATATTCCGTTGTCTGGCTAGACCACATCGTGCTTATCCGTATTCCTCTGTCGGTGGACATGGGGGCTGCTTCCACCTTTTCGCTATTGTGGATAACACTGCTGTGAACACAGAGACACACATATCCGTTCAAGTCCCTCCTTTCGGTTTTTTGGAGTACACACCCTGAAGTGGAATGATGGGATCGCACGGTCATCTATGTTTAACTTTTCAATGAACTGCCACGCTGTTTTTCACAGCGGCTGTACCATTTTTACATCCCTGCTCACAGCATACGAGGGTCCCAGTGTTCCACATCCTTGCCAACGCCTGTTATTGTCTGTTGTTTGGATAGCAACCCACATGACTGTGATTTGAGCATCTTTGCGTGTGCTCATTGGCCATTTGTATATCTTCTCTGGAGAAATGTCTGTTCAGATCCTTGGCCCATTTTTAAAAGCGGTTGTTGGTCGGAGGGTTGCTTTCTTATGCGTGAACTCCTCTCTCCCTGACCCACCGCTCCCAGGCTCGACACTGTGACCAAACAGCCTCCCTGGGACACTCCTGACTCTGAACGCATCATCACCATGAGGAAGGGAGGCCGGGGACCAAGGGCCATCTTACGAAACTTGCCTTTGGAGAAACGTCACTAATTACCGGGTATGGCAGGACATGAGTCTGGGAGTTGTCACTGGGGATTTTAAGAAGGTGACTGTTTGCTTGTTTGTCCCATTATTATTATTCTATATATTTTTAGTGTTTCTGGCTTCATTCTTCCTGTATGAGGATGGTGTGTAGTACTTTATAGAGACTAAATTTTACCTCTTTGGGATAAGTAGGAATAAGTCATTTCCTCAAAGGCTGCCTTTTTCCTGCTGACAAAGCAGCAACAACCCTGTAAACAGGGAAAGACAGGAGTGGGAGGGGCATTCCCACTGACGGGGAATCTGCCGTGATCAAGCCCTGAGCTGGGCGTTGCACACACAATTCTCCTTCTAATCCTTTCATCAGTCAAGTGGGGCAGGTTGTTATCTGAGCTCACACATGGGGACAAGGAGGCTCAAAGTGGCAGGTCAGGGATGGACGGGGCTGGGATTTGGAAGCCATCAGGGAACCTGAGCTCCTTCTGTGACAGGAAAAGCCCTTTTGCTCCTGCTGAGCGCTAGGCGGGTGTTAGGGGCCTGTTTCAAGAAGAAAAGAGTCTGGTCTCCTCCCCTCCCCTCCCCTCCCCTCCCCCCTTCTCCCCTCCTCTCTCCTTTCTTCTCCTCTTTTCTTTCCCTCCTTCTCCACTAGACATTGACTCCACTGGACATGTCACTCAGTCTATAAACGTTTCATTCTTTACCATGAAAAAAACATTCCGTGTGGTGTACATACTCTGTATGCTATATGATGATGATACATGTCATTACACACTTGCCAAAGCTCATTGAATGACAGCACCAATCCCACACGGGCCTTACGCTGGAAGCGGATGGTTCATGTATGTGAGCCCCTTAGAGTGGGTTAACTTCTGTACACCAGCACTTGGCTCAGGGCCTGCCGCTTACCGGCTGCTCAGTTACTGAGCGAATGCAGGGCTCCCCGGTGACCCATCAGGACGGTTGCGGGGAGGGCCTGTGTGGGGCAGTTCCAAGGGTGCAGGAGAGGAGAAGGCTTTGGAATGGATGGGCCTCACACGGGCAAGGGCAGGCACCATGGGGCCCAAAGGGTGGAGGAGAGCCCAGTGTGGAGGGCCCAGGGAGGCAGGTTTCAGTTTAAGAAAAAGATGTAAAAAATAGAACCTTATCGAGACCAGCCTGGGCAACATGGCCAAACCCCATCTCTACTAAAAATACAAAAAAATTAACCAGGCGTGGTGGTGTGTGCCTGTAATCCCAGCTACTCGGATGAGGAAGGAGAGTCGCTCGAGCCCGGGAGGCAGAGGCTGCAGCGAGCCTAGATCGTGCCACTGCACTCTAGCCTGGGAGCTAGAACAAGAGTCCATCTCAAAAAAAAAAAAAAAAAAAAGAACCTTATTTTTATATTTCAAAATAGTTGTTCTAATTACCTACCGGATGTAATTCAGGAATGCATGTTTGTTTAAATGAAACATTAAACAACACATAGTTATAAACAGCCTTGTTTATCACTGCTCCCTGCCTCCACTGCTGTGGCAATTTTGTATGTGTCTCTCTAGATCTTTCTCTATGCATTTATATATAGATACAAAGACACCCGTGTGTGTGTGTATATATGTGTGATACAAACACACACGGACAGACACACACCATATAGCTGGGTGAAATTTCTCACACCTGCATTGCTCTTTCTTGTTCCTCTTAAGCCGTGTCAGGGAAAGTTTTCTATAAAACTGAATACATCCACAGAGACTCAGGTGGCCGAATGCTCCAACACAGTCCTGTTATGAGAGGCTGTCCTCGTGAGCAAAAGGGATGCCTGTGTGTCCTTGAGATATGCTGCTCTGAGGAACAACCTAAAATTCCTCCTTCAGAGAACAGCCAGGACCTGGGAATGAGCTGGGGACCACTGGCTGCCCCTTGGGACCTTGCGGCTCTCATGGCCTTTTCTGCCTCCTGAAGGGAGAGCAGATGGAGGGGCACCCGGGCAGGAGAGAGGTGGGAGGGAACCAGGCGGAGACGAGAGCCCTGGATGGCCATCCCAGGCTGACTCTGTAGACACCGAGGGCCATTCAGTGGGATGACTGATGTTACGTACCGTCTTCTGGCTTTCTGTGTGATCATGATTGACAAATAGAAAGATTGTTTTCCTGACTCTTTCCCATGTGTTGAGGTATAACTGAGGAGTTGTACATTTACGTCTTTTTTTCTTAAGCCAGTAAGCGCAATTATATTATATATATTAATCTGTGACTCGCTTTTATGCTTAATACATCTGATATGTTTTTCTTCTGCAAATAAAGATGTATCTGTCTCATCTTTTAAAACTGGCTGTTTGGTATGGATTTTCATGATGTGCGCAGCCACTGTCTTGCAGACAGACATCTGAGTGGTTCACAGTGATCTGCTGTTGCCAGTCTTGCTGCCTGGAGCATGCTTGAACGTATCGCTGTATGCACACCCACCGTCATGTCTGTGTATGTGGGGGTTTACACACTTTGAGTTTCTTTTTTTGTTGGGTGGGGGAGAGTTGGGGTCTCACTATGCTGTCCAAGCTGGTCTCAAACTCCTGGCCTCAAGCGATTCTCTTGCCTCAGCCTCCCCAGTCACTGGGATTACAGGCGTGAGCCACCATGCCTGGGTTTTTGGATTTTGATAGCTATTGGTCTACCAGTTTATATTCCCATCAACAGTGTGAGACCACCGTCATCCTTACCAGCCCGAGGCATTCTCCATCTTTTTTATTCTGCCGCTCCAGCAGGGGACACAATGGTGTGGTCACAGCGTCCCCACCCCGAGGTGAACTGAGCAGGGATGCTAACGCCAGCTATGGAGGGTGCTGTGGAGGGGTTTGCCCCACCGAGGGGAGGCTGGGTCCCACGGCCTCCAGTGCCCGATTCTGTGCTTGTTAACTAGAATAGAGACACATGCGAGGGCGGGAGATAGCAGAGTTCCCTGAAGCCCTGGGGCGACCCCAGCTCTTCCGGTTCTCCCAGGGGGGCTGGAAAGTGAGCCCTGAGGTTACAGGGCCTGCGGGTGGTAAATCAGGCTTTCCCTTCCAATAATAATAGATGTCCCGTCCCTTCATTAGTGGAACGGAGCGGCTGTTCTGGGGGCTGCCTGGGGGCTGCCTTGCTTCCTCCGTAGGAGAAGGTGCTTCTCTGGGGAAGAGAGGGCCTCCATGTGTGGAAACCCGGAGTCCTGCAGCCCGATGTCCACGGCACCTCCAACCTGGGGAACTGCTCCTTCCTGCACGGCCTGGTTACGGTGTGGAAACCCATGCGCTGTCATGAAGGCCAGAGAGAGTTCTCTGTGAAGGCTGGAACCCCCCCACCCCCATAGCACACTTCCTACAGCATGGCTCCACCTGGGCCTGTCCCTCCTCCAAAACTCCTGGTGGCTCCCTACTGCCTCCAGAGGACTCCACTCTTCGGGATCATCCCAGTCCTCAGTGAGGCCCTGCCACACAGCCTGGGCTCTAGCCACATTCTCTCTCCTGCTCACTCTGACTGGATGGCTTTCCTTTACCCTCTCCCCTCACCTTCCAGGGTCTTGCTTTGTCACCGAGGCTGGAGTACAGTGGCGGGATCTGGGCTCACTGCAACCTCCGCCTCCTGGGTTCAAGTGATTCTCCTGCCCCAGCCTCCCAAGTAGCTGGGACTACAGGCGCCCGCCACCACGCCCGGCGAATTTTTTGTATTTTTAGTAGAGACAGGGTTTCACCGTGTTAGCCAGGATGATCTCGATCTCCTGACCTTGTGATCTGCCCGCCTCGGCCTCCCAAAGTGCTGGGATTACAGGCGTGAGCCACCGTGCCCGGCTGAGCCTGCTCATCTTTTAAGGTCACCCTCTGCATGACACCCCAGGTCCATCCCTTGAAATGCTCCCACATTCTCAAGCTTGCCCCGAGGAAGGATCTGTCAGTGACCTCACTCCTTCCATCTTCTCCCAGCCCCGCTCTGCGTCAGTCCGAACTTCCGTCCATGGGGGTTGTGTGCCCAAGCACAGGATCCAGTGGTGTGCAGATGGCATGGAGCCCACGGGCTAGGCTTGGACTCTGGCTCTGTCACTTAGCATATGGCTGCAGGGAAATTAGTTAACAGGCCTGGGCCTCAGTTTTTTTGTCTGTGAAATGGGGGTAATTACTGCCACTCATAGGACTATTTGGCAGATCAGTAGTTCTCAACCATGAATGTGTGTGTGTGTGTGTGTGTGTATGTGTTTGTGTAAACTCCCCCTTCCTGGGGACATTTGGCAATGTCTAGAGACATTTTGTTACTTTTGGATCGGGGGGTACTGCTGGCATCTAGAGGGCAGAGGCCAGGGATGCCATGGTGCCTCCCGCGACACGTAGAACAGCTCCTGCAATGAAGAATTATCTGCCTCCAAATGTCACGTGGTGAGGCCGAGAAAGCTGGTGGAGGTGAAATGATGGAGAGCTGCAGTGAGGTACCCAAGGGGTCTCTGGTTCACAGCAGGTGCTTCCCAAATAGCCATCTTTAAATGCAGCCGATTCATCCCTGTGTTGTCCACCACTCCCAGCACAGTGCCCGACACAGAGCGCTTGGGTGCTAGGATTAGGGAGGATGGAAGAGGAAAAAGAGGGATATTCTTATTCTTGTAGGTTCTATGGAAAGAAAGTTAAAGTGGCCAGGCGCGGTGGCTCACGTCTGTAATCCCAGCACTTTGGGAGGCTGAGGCGGGTGGATCACGAGAATCATGAGACCAGGAGATCAAGACCATCCTGGCTAACACGGTGAAACCCCATCTCTACAAAAAATACAAAAATTAGCTGAGCCTGGTGGTGCGTGCCTGTAATCCCAGCTACTCAGGAGGCTGAGGCAGGAGAATCGCTTGAACCCAGGAGGCGGAGGCTGCGGTGAGCCGAGATCGCGCCATTGCACTCCAGCCTGGGTGACAGAGTGAGACTCCGTCTCAAAAAAAAAAAAAAAAGAGAAAAGTTAAAGTACCTGATTTGGGAACGTGGAGGAATCAGGGCCGTAAGAGGGAAGGTGTTCTGCACGTGGGAACAAGGCTGGTGGGGGAAGGGATGGGGCTTCAAGCTGTGTGGAGCCACTCCAAGCAGTGCCTGCCCCTCCTGGGCTCCTGTTATTTAGTGGACAAGACACTTTTTGTTTCCGGCTCTGAATCACGGTGCCACAGTGAGGAGGAATGTGGCGTGATTCAGGCTGTAGGTCTTGACCATGACAAGCCACCCAAGCAACTATTTCAGTAATAACACTACGCACTTTTATATCTTCCTTTCATCGCAGATCTCAAAACACAGCGCAAATATTAATTAAGCCTCTTGGCACTCCATGAGGCACTGTGTGTAAATATCACTCTCCCCACTTAGCTGAGAGGGTAAACCGAGCCAGGCAAAGGCAGGGTGGCTTCAGCCTGGGGCAGCTCAGGCCTTGTTGAGGCTCCATCTCGGAGGAGAAGCCGGGGTTTGGAAGCCTTCCCGCCCCTCCAACTATGATTCCTGTATCCTCTTCCCCAGGCCTTTTTGGGGATACCACAAATAGAAACAGTTTTGTCCCCACTGGGGACGGGGGTAGAGAGGGCAGCAGTGTGTGGGCTGTAATGCAGAGGTGAGGGGCATAGGGAAGCTCCTCACGCCCAAATATGCCCCTTGATTGCCCGTCCCCAAGCCAGAGATGTGTGTGCCTGCACCTCTCAGAGCAGCAGTAATGGCAAAGACCCCAGCATCACAAGGAAATCGGAAATGCTGTTTTTAGAGGGGACACAGTGGTCGTAATTATATTTTTCCTTGGAATCTAAAGTAAATGCTTCTTCCAAAATGTTAACAACAGATGAAACACATTAATTGTCTGTAAATTTAAAGCCAAATAAAAAGTTTAAAATAAGAAAGAAAGAAAGAAAGAAAGAGAAGAATGAATAAGTTTTCTAGAACCACAGGGAGAAGCACTTGCCAATACTTCTAGGAGCAAAGAAACGCCCCTGAATCCTGCTCCATCCCTTTCTCGGGGTCCTTGTCTCCTTGGCCAGGGCAGGGCAGCAGGGGGTCCACAGTCACTTAGGGAGGGGTTTACCGGGTCGTTGTAAACTCCCCTCTCACGGTGGCCAATGCAGTGAAGGAATCCAAAAGATACACTGGGGGAAAGAAGGAAAGAGGAAAATGTGTCCTGAGTTTTTAAATACGGTTGAAGCAAACCCCTTACATTTAGGGATGCCAGCTATGTGTACCCTGTAGTGTCAGCCCGGGACATGCAGGCACTGCACTGTGGCCCACAGTCCCCCCTCCCAGGGCCAACACTGCCCTCTGCAGTGACTCACGCCCGGGATAGTTTAAATACCGGGACAGCTTAGGCGAGCCACACTCATGCTGCAGCCTTGAGCCGTCCCTCGTCCTCCTCTCAGGCTCCCTCTTGTCCACGGCGGGCGGGCGCCGAGCTGCTGGTAAGTAGGCAAGCCACCCCCATCCCTCCTCTCTGCTTAGAGGGCCCGGCCAGCCCCTTCCCATTTCTGCTGGACCTGCTCCCCTCGGAGACCCCAGAAGGGGCAGAGCTGACATGTGCCTGGGGATGCTCTCGGGACAGGGACAGAAGCAGCCTGTGCTGGAGGGGTGCAAGCCTGTCTCCCTCACTGCCTGGACACCAGGACCACCAGCCCCTCTGCTGATGCCTCAACAGCCTCTTATGCCCCTTGCCCTGAGCGGCTCATGATGTCAACCTGGGGTGCTGAGATGTCTGAGACCAGCAAGTTGGGCTGAAAGTGGACTAAATTATCACCCCCCTTGTCACTGGATTGACCGTTCTGGAATCTAGATCCACTGGGGGAAGAACTTCTCTTTTTAAGGTTCAGATTATTTGCGCCTGTGCCATCTTTCCTGGCACTTGCCCTGGTGGCTCCCAGTGGTCTGCCCCGCATTTGGTTCTGCCCAAGACCTTCCTTCATGGGGGTTTCCCAGGCAAGAGAGCTGTCTGCTTTGCATAGATGGATAACTCCTGCAAGTGTAACTTCAGCAGATGTGCTGGTCCCTGGTTTGCAGTTCCAATTTGGAATTCGGACATGGGCTCAGCATTGTTCAGGCTCTAACAGTGTGGCTTAGGGGACACTATGCTGGCAGTTTCCCCTCTCTCCTGCTGGAAGCGTCGGCCTCTGTGGAGCCTGGAGGCTTTGAGCAGGGAGTCAGGGCAGGAGATGGATTTGTGATGAGGTGGTATGTGGATTTGAAATTGTGACGGCTGCACCTTGACCCGTGTCTCTGCTCAAACGTAGAGGCAGGACCTGGGGCCAAGAAACCAACTGTGGAAAACCAGAGCTTTCAGGACTCTCCCACCCCTGCCAAAGTGCAAGAGCCATTCCACCTCCCGGGCCCAGGGCATCACCTCGGTGCAGCTGCACTCTCTCTGAGATGACACGTGTGCTCCAGTCGCAGGTGCCAGGTGCCTGTCTGCCACGTGCCAGCTTCTCCTTTGGGGTTATCTGGGATGCGTCACTTTACCTTGGGCAGCTCTCAGATGTGTTGCTGCCACTGGCTCCTTAATTTAGAAGTGCTCTAACGGCTGGCACTTCCTTCATTCTGCAGAGACTGAACATCTGGAGTAAATTCAGGGCCAGACAGCCCAATTTGCCTGTGGTCTTGAGTCAGCTGGGCGGGCTCAGCAGTGATGAGGCAGGCATGTGAGAGGGTTCGGGGCCAGGGTAAGTTCTGGATAGATTCGACAGACAGTCAGGTCATGGAAGGTTCTTCCCAGGGCTAGGGAACACTCCCTTAGCTCGCTCAGTAAATGGCGGGGTGGTGAGGCGAGGTAGAATAGATCCAGCCGTGGAGAATAAGGGGTGGGGGAGGAGCTGTCCCGACTCAGTCCTGCCAGTAAGCAGACTGTGATCACACATGGCAATTTGCTGCCCTGAATCCTGACCACGAAGGAGTCACTGCTGCTTCAGATTTATGGCCTGTCTTGGCTTTTGGACACAGAAATTAGAACCTGCTTCCAGATGCTTTGATCAGGGGCTGATCCATTTCTCTCTACTTTGGGATCCCAGGTGCCCGCCTGAGAAGGGGGCTGTTTGTAGCCCGTGGCTGCTGTCATAAGAGCCCTTTTGGGGCAGTTCTCCTGTTCTGCTGGGCGGTTTGTCAGTTTCTCCTGCCACCCTTGCCAGGCTAATGACAGTCCTGCTCTGGCCTCTGCAGGAAGCCAGACCTGGGAGGATCCCCAACAGAAGGGCTGGAAAGGAATTGCGCTTTTTAACTGATTTTCTGTTTTCAAACAATAAGCAACATGTTGGCTTTGAAGGGCCATGAGAGATGAGAGACGCGGGTCCCCGCTTGATCAAGGTGGACGGTGAGGGTGTGGCCAGTCTTGCTTTGGAGTTCAAGGAAGGTTTCTGTTTGGGGTGGAGTATTCCCAAATCAGGGGCCTGTGACCTTGGCCCCAGGTCCTGCCTCTACATTTGAGCAGAGACACAGGTAAAGGTGCAGCTGTCCCAGTTTCAAATCCACACACTGGCCGGGCGCGGTGGCTCACGCCTGTAATCTCAGCACTTTGGGAGGCCGAGGCGGGAGGATCATGAGGTCAGGAGATCAAGACCATCCTGGCTAACACGACGAAACCCTGTCTCTACTAAAAATACAAAAAATTAGCCGGGTGTGGTGGCGGGCACCTGTAGTCCCAGCTACTCGGGAGGCTGAGGCAGGAGAGTGGTGTGAACCCGGGAGGCAGAGCTTGCAGTAGCAGAGATCACACCACTGCACATCAGTCTGGGTGACAGAGCAAGACTCCGTCTCAAAAAAAATAGATAAATAAAAATAAAAAAATAAAGATCCACACACCCCTCATCACAAATCCATCTGCAGCCTTGACTCCATCTCCAGCCTTGTTGTTGAGATTACAGGGGTCAACACCTTCTGGTGAACCCTCTGTCCCTTCCCTACAGTCCTCCAGGAGACTCAGGTGGAATTGAACAAACACCAGCATCAGAGCAGCCTTAAAGAAGAAATCCCTGAACCCATGCAGCCTGGTAGTTGAAATAAGCACTTGCCCTTGGCGAATCATGCTGGGCAGGGGGAAGGTGGATTGTATGAGCCTCAGTTGATTTAAGCTGGAGGGTGCAAATCCACCTCCTCCCCAATCCCAGGCCCTGCCAGGCGTGTGGTTGACAAGGTCCCAAATCCCGGTGATGAGGCTCAGGGATTTGCCAAACTCTGTAGTTAGGGGCCCTGATCGGGTGTCAGGAGTCCCCAACGGACTGTGTGACCTTGGGCAAGTCTCTGCTCCCTGGGGACCCCCTCAGCTTTCCCAACTACAAAATGAGCAGACGGTTTGACTAGGTGCACTCAGAAAGCTCTTGCACCTCTGATGCTCCAGGCTCTAAGTACCGTTTCTGGAAGCAGCTTCTATTGCCAGGTTCAACTCAGCACAAACTGCAGTTCCTGATGGGGATGCGGAAGGGGCCGCTGAGAGAAATATTGGTAGAGGGATGGGGCCAGGCCTGTGGCAGGATCTGCGGCCTCCCCCATCCCGGGTCCTCTCGTTCTCAGCGGTCAGTGACAAAAGGTCTGAGCCTGGGTTCTCGGCTAGTCTAGACCTCACGTGGTGTTTCTGAGCATGTTCTGTGGACTCCTGCATTGGAGTCACTTGGGAAGTTTGTAAAACATGCAGAATCCTGGGCCCCGCTGAGACCTAGGGATCAGGATCTCTGCGGGTGGAGTCTCCAGAGATTCTGATTTTTACCCAACAACAAAAATAACAATCGTCACAAACGTTTATTGGGTCCTCACTTTGTGCCAAGAACTCACCCAAGTGCTTCACATGCATTAACTCGTTTAATCCTCACAGCAGCAACGCTATGAGGTCAGTTCTATTAAACAAGCCAGGCGATTTTATGTGCTGCCCCAGGAGAGGGGATGTTTGGTGAGATGGGGAGGTCTGGAGGCACGGAGGCCCGAGCTTCAGGCCAAGCCTCTCAGGCAGACCCACTGGCCTGAGCCCCCATGAGCGCGTGATTGAGGTCAGCACCAGCTGTGGGCAGTGGGGACAGACCCTGGCTGCTCCAAGCCTGACATCTTCCTCGGGAGCCCTCAGGCTTGTTGGGTGACATCTCTCTGCAGACAAGGCCATGACTGGGCAGCCCTCTGTGGGGAGAAGGGAGAAGCCAGGGAGAGACAGCCCCTCTCTGGGTCTCAGTTTCCCCAGGTGCACTGGGAGTGGGCAGGACCAGAAGCTCCCAGAGGCCCCTCCCAGTCCCTGGGTTCCATGGAACGGCTATTGGCTGTGTGCGGACATGCTGATTACTAAGTGGGATTGCCCTGGCTGGGAAACTTGGAGGCAGGTGGGCCTGAAAAGATGGGCATGAGTTCCTCAGGCCTCAGCATGAAGCTGGAGCCGGGCCGGGCGGCCCTGCTGGAGGTCCAGCAGGTCCTCTGGGGAAGAGAAGATGAGGAGAATGAGGGGCTTCAGGCCAAATTTCCTTCCTGCCTCACATCAGAAGATAGCAGAGCTCCAAGGGCCCTTGGACGTCTTTACTGAAGGGGAAACTGAGGCCTGGAGAATTTCCCTAAGCTCACACTTCAACTTAGTGTCAACCAGAGTAGAACGCTGGTCTTCCAGCCTCCCTCCAAAAGTTATGCTCTGTGTCATTAAAATAAGGAGGAGTCTCCTTCCAGGAAACCTCGTGTTCAGGGAATGTGAACGATGGTATTAAACCAAAAACGTCCCAACCCACCAACCAACAAAGCCCAGGGCTTCGAGGCTAATTACGCGTTTGCTCGTGAGTCACGGTGCTTCTGCTGAGACCCAAAGCCGAGAGCCCTGGTTCGTGCACTTCTGCTCACGGGGAGGGAATGCATCAGAGCGCCCAGGAGAGCTGTCAGGCTGTCCTTCGGTTTGTCTGCTCGGCTTGCTGACTTCATGGGCCAGTGATAGACACCAGGCTATTCCCCCTTCCCAGGAGCTGGACAGGGGCTGGACTGAGTCACTGAAGTGATTGACGACGCTCTCGGCTGCCTGGGGGAGAAGTTATAATTAGGGCAGCTTTGTGGCCCTTTAACTGCCATCTGTCAGAGCTGCCAAGCAGCACCAGGCAGCGTGGGCTATTAGGCCTCCAGGTGCTGGGCTCCTAGAGGCTGTGGCCACTGCAGGAGCTGGCATCACATGCTGAGAATCCAAGGGCCCAGCTGTCAGTCCTGGTTCTGTGGCCCCTCCCTCCCCTGCGGGCTTTGCAGCCGGGTTTCAGGGGAGCACTTTGGAGGCCCTGTGGAGCCCTGGCCGCCAGCCACAGCAGTGGAAAGTGCTGGAAAACAGGAAACTGCTGCATGTGGTGCTGGGATGGGCTTTGCAGATGTGAGGATTTATACAGAGGAAAATCTGCAAATTCTTGCAATATTTGTCATGCTGAGTGTGGCCCATTTTAGACAGTGGTGGCCCTGTTCCCATAGGGAATTATCTGTGCAGTCCTCTCAGGTCAAGGGGCACCTTCCCTGGCACAAGCCCTTCCTGGGCTGGCTTGATGCCCCTCCCCAGCTGGGGAGTGCAGACTCCTAGAAAGCCACATAAAGATGGGTCCTCAGAGGGTGCCTCATCCTACACTGTCCTTCATAGATGGGGAAACTCAAGATTGCCCTGGGCTGGCCAGGTGACATGCACTTAATTTAGTCTCTGACACTTGGGCTGTGACACCGTTTTGAAGCATGCTGGGTATATGAGTGTACATTAAATATAAGTGCCAGCCAGCTTGTCTCCAGGAGCAATTCAAGCTCCACCTTTTGCACGTCAGCCCAGGCAGTAAATATCTCACGTACACTTACACCAAAGAGATGGGCAAATACCCACACTGTCCACGCAGACCCCTAAGAGTACAGGCACCGTTGTCTTGGTGGACAGATTGTTTTCTCATGCCCTGAAACTCAGCCTTAGAATCCTAAGGTCTTAGGAATGGACAGGACACCAGTTGTCTTCCAGTCCAATACCCTACCAGGCATGGGAGTCTTCTCTACAGCTTGCTTGCCAAGTGATTGCTTTAGCCTCTGCTTGATTGCTTCCAGTGACAGTGAGCTTACTCCCTCTGTGAGGTTGCCCATTTTCAGTGTGAACTGAAATCTGCTACTCTATAACTTCTGCACCCGCTTGACCTCTGAAGCCACACTGAGCTAGGTTCTTTCTGTATCCCGTGGCAGCCCTTCAGGGATGCTAGGAAAGTGATTGTAGACTCCTCACAGCATCTCCTCCTCTGGTTATTTATTCATCCACAGCTCCTTCATTTTAATTTTAATTTAATTTTTTTCTCACCATGTCTTAGGGTGCTGACACAGTTCCTTCAATGGATGCTCAGATGTTCTGTTTTCTAGATCCCCTTGCCATCCTCTAGAATTCTTTAGGAAGTCAGTTTGCCATTAGCCTTTTTGAAGTTCAGAGTGGAACTGAGCCCAGCATTACAGGTGTGGCCACGTCAGGGCAGTTGCAGGGTGAGACCATCACCTCCTTTTTTCCACATGTGATACTTCTTCTATTAATCCAGTCTCAGACCACACTAGCTTTTGTGGGCAGCCTCCTTCCTTTGTTATCGTTAGTAAAAAGTCCTAAGTCTTCTCCTAGGGTGAATATTGAGCCACTTTTTTTGGTGTATTCTGTTTAGGCAGCTTGTTTTCTGTTGCTGGGTTCTGGACCTGACATTTGTCTATATAAGTTTTTACTTTTTTTCAGATGTGTCCCTAGCATAACCTGGCCCCATTCCTTTGCATCTAGATGCCTTTGGACAAGGTATTCTTTTTCCTTTCTTGTTTCCATTGTTCTATATGCTTAGTCAAGTTCTTAATGTAAAAGTATAGCAGGTCAGGGCTTCCATGGGCTGTGAACAAGTAAAAAAATCAAGGTCTTGGCCGGGCACGGTGGCTCATGCCTGTAATCCCAGCACTTTGGGAGACCGAGGTGGGCAGATCACGAGGTCAGGAGATCAAGACCAGCCTGACCAACATGGTGAAACCCTGTCTTTACTAAAAATACAAAAGTTAGCCAGGCATGGTGGCATGCGCCTTAATTCCAGCTACTCGGGAGGCTGAGGCAGGAGAATCCCTTGAACCTGGGAGGTGGAGTTTGCAGTGAGCAGAGATCATGCCACTGCACTCCAGCCTGGGGGACAGAGCGAGACTCCATCTCAAAAAAAAAAAAAAAAAAAACAAAATCAAGGTCTGTGTGGTTGGGGAATGGGCTTAGGTTTTTATCTCAGAGTAAGCTTGTTGAGGGGGCAGGGAAGGGGTGCACGGGGCTGAGGCCAAATTAGGAAGCCTGGGTTACTCTGAGACGTGGGCCAGGCTCCAGACCCCGTGAGTTCAGAGCCACAGACAGAGACCAGAGAAATACCTTCTTTACCCAACCATTGATGGCTTCTGTGCCATCATTTGAAATTCCTTCCTCTGACTCAGGATTTTTGCTCATGGAAAGGGAGACACAGCATTAACACTCAAAGTACTTCCTCAGGGGTCTGGAGACCTGGGCTTTAAGCTCAGAAGCCTTTCCTTGCTTCTTGCATCCCCAAAAAGTGATGGGAATGAGTGACCGGCAGTGATTGCTGCATCTTCCAGGAGTTTGGACCTTTGAACCTTTGGTGGAAGTTGCGGATACTCTCACATATACACAGAAATTCTTAGTTCCTTGACTACGAATGCCAAGACCAGAAGCACTTTGAAGCCCTCCTGACTTGAGGAGTCTATAGGGTCCATGCTGTGGATAAGCATGGAACAAGGCACGCATTTGCACAGCGCTGGCCGGGATGACCCTGCATCCTTTCCGCATTCGCTCCTCACAACAGCCCCAAGAACGGGGCGGGAGTTACCATCCCCTCTTCACACACGAGGGAGCTGAAGCTTGCAGGCCTCAAGCTTCATGCAAGGTGAAACTGTTAGTGATCCTTAAATATTCATATAGGGACCAGCACCTATGTCCCATATCTCTACATTTTACACACACACACACACACATACACACACACAGTTATATATGTCATTGTCATCAGTGATTTCAAACACCAACATTTCCATGAACTTGCCTCCATTTTCAGAACATTGCCACACCTGACCTACCATCTTTTAGCTCAAAGTACATCTCAGTAGGTTTCCTGGAACTTACTCAAGGACTCCCCAGTGTTTCTTGTGGAAACTGGGACTTATACCCACAAGGCTGGCTTCGGGCACCAGCTAAGCCACAGCAGCCTCTCCCAGCGAGGCAGGACATGGTGCAGACACGTCATTGCCTTTTCCTGGGAGGGTGGTTTGAATTCGAGCTAGATGAAGCACAGGTGAAAGGGCTAGCAGATGGCTAAGTGATGGTTGGTGGTGATGGGCTGGGCAGGGCAGGCCCAGGCGAGGGTGAGGAAGAGCTGCTTCCACTGTAGTCATTCAGGCAGATCCCAGCTCTGTGGTCCTAACTCTGCCGCCGCTGCTGCACCTCCCGGCAGGCTACCGTGTTTGTGGCCTCACCATCTTCCCCCAGGTTCAGCCCTATTTATTTGTTCCCATTGCCTTTGTGTTCCTCCTGACAGGGCTGTGCTTAACCAGCACATTCAGATGATGTGAGGGATACAGAGATGGATAAGATACAGTTCCCGCCCTAAGGAAACTGTAGGGATGAAAGATGGACTCCCTGTCCGTGGAAAGCTTATTGACTGGGGAAGGAGACAGACAGGGGACACAGTGAATGACATCCAAGGCCACCGTGGCCAATGATGGAGACTGGGAAGACGACTTCATGGAAGGGTAACTGATTGACTCATGGAATCTGGGAAGTGTCCTAAAGGTTATTGCACTGGAGTTGGACGTGGAAGCATGGGAAAATTTTGTATAAGGACAAGGGACATTCCAGGTAGGGAGAATTGCCTGGGCAAAGGCATGGAAGCAGAAAGGCAGGGCAAAGGTGCAGAGGCTTCCTGTTCAGAGCAGAGAGAGCATGTGTTCAGTATGTGATGATGGGGTTCAAAGCCAAGCCAGCATTGGCACTGGAGTTGATGTTGGCTTAAAACTTGCCAGTGTCAGGTAGAGGACCCTGACTAACGTGTGCTCTCTCCCCTTGCACAGGCTATGCCACTGAAGCATTATCTCCTTTTGCTGGTGGGCTGCCAAGCCTGGGGTGCAGGGTTGGCCTACCATGGCTGCCCTAGCGAGTGTACCTGCTCCAGGGCCTCCCAGGTGGAGTGCACCGGGGCACGCATTGTGGCAGTGCCCACCCCTCTGCCCTGGAACGCCATGAGCCTGCAGATCCTCAACACGCACATCACTGAACTCAATGAGTCCCCGTTCCTCAATATCTCAGCCCTCATCGCCCTGAGGATTGAGAAGAATGAGCTGTCGCGCATCACGCCTGGGGCCTTCCGAAACCTGGGCTCGCTGCGCTATCTCAGCCTCGCCAACAACAAGCTGCAGGTTCTGCCCATCGGCCTCTTCCAGGGCCTGGACAGCCTCGAGTCTCTCCTTCTGTCCAGTAACCAGCTGTTGCAGATCCAGCCGGCCCACTTCTCCCAGTGCAGCAACCTCAAGGAGCTGCAGTTGCACGGCAACCACCTGGAATACATCCCTGACGGAGCCTTCGACCACCTGGTAGGACTCACGAAGCTCAATCTGGGCAAGAATAGCCTCACCCACATCTCACCCAGGGTCTTCCAGCACCTGGGCAACCTCCAGGTCCTCCGGCTGTATGAGAACAGGCTCACGGATATCCCCATGGGCACTTTTGATGGGCTTGTTAACCTGCAGGAACTGGCTCTGCAGCAGAACCAGATTGGACTGCTCTCCCCTGGTCTCTTCCACAACAACCACAACCTCCAGAGACTCTACCTGTCCAACAACCACATCTCCCAGCTGCCACCCAGCGTCTTCATGCAGCTGCCCCAGCTCAACCGTCTTACTCTCTTTGGGAATTCCCTGAAGGAGCTCTCTCCGGGGATCTTCGGGCCCATGCCCAACCTGCGGGAGCTTTGGCTCTATGACAACCACATCTCTTCTCTACCCGACAATGTCTTCAGCAACCTCCGCCAGTTGCAGGTCCTGATTCTTAGCCGCAATCAGATCAGCTTCATCTCCCCGGGTGCCTTCAACGGGCTAACGGAGCTTCGGGAGCTGTCCCTCCACACCAACGCACTGCAGGACCTGGACGGGAACGTCTTCCGCATGTTGGCCAACCTGCAGAACATCTCCCTGCAGAACAACCGCCTCAGACAGCTCCCAGGGAATATCTTCGCCAACGTCAATGGCCTCATGGCCATCCAGCTGCAGAACAACCAGCTGGAGAACTTGCCCCTCGGCATCTTCGATCACCTGGGGAAACTGTGTGAGCTGCGGCTGTATGACAATCCCTGGAGGTGTGACTCAGACATCCTTCCGCTCCGCAACTGGCTCCTGCTCAACCAGCCTAGGTTAGGGACGGACACTGTACCTGTGTGTTTCAGCCCAGCCAATGTCCGAGGCCAGTCCCTCATTATCATCAATGTCAACGTTGCTGTTCCAAGCGTCCATGTCCCCGAGGTGCCTAGTTACCCAGAAACACCATGGTACCCAGACACACCCAGTTACCCTGACACCACATCCGTCTCTTCTACCACTGAGCTAACCAGCCCTGTGGAAGACTACACTGATCTGACTACCATTCAGGTCACTGATGACCGCAGCGTTTGGGGCATGACCCAGGCCCAGAGCGGGCTGGCCATTGCCGCCATTGTAATTGGCATTGTCGCCCTGGCCTGCTCCCTGGCTGCCTGCGTCGGCTGTTGCTGCTGCAAGAAGAGGAGCCAAGCTGTCCTGATGCAGATGAAGGCACCCAATGAGTGTTAAAGAGGCAGGCTGGAGCAGGGCTGGGGAATGATGGGACTGGAGGACCTGGGAATTTCATCTTTCTGCCTCCACCCCTGGGTCCATGGAGCTTTCCCGTGATTGCTCTTTCTGGCCCCAGAGAAAGGTGAGCCTACCTCTTCCTGACTTGCCTGATTCTCCCGTAGAGAAGCAGGTCGTGCCGGACCTTCCTACAATCAGGAAGATAGATCCAACTGGCCATGGCAAAAGCCCTGGGGATTTCCGATTCATACCCCTGGGCTTCCTTCGAGAGGGCTCTTCCTCCAAATCCTCCCCACCTGTCCTCCAAGAACAGCCTTCCCTGCGCCCAGGCCCCCTCCGGGCCTCTGTAGACTCAGTTAGTCCACAGCCTGCTCACTTCGTGGGAATAGTTCTCCGCTGAGATAGCCCCTCTCGCCTAAGTATTATGTAAGTTGATTTCCCTTCTTTTGTTTCTCTTGTTTGTGCTACGGCTTGACCCAGCATGTCCCCTCAAATGAAAGTTCTCCCCTTGATTTTCTGCTCCTGAAGGCAGGGTGAGTTCTCTCCTCAAAGAAGACTTCAAACCATTTAACTGGTTTCTTAAGAGCCGTCAATCAGCCTGGTTTTGGGGATGCTATGAAAGAGAGAAGGAAAATCATGCCGCTCAGTTCCTGGAGACAGAAGAGCCGTCATCAGTGTCTCACTTGTGATTTTTATCTGGAAAAGGAAGAAACACCCCAGCACAGCAAGCTCAGCCTTTTAGAGAAGGATATTTCCAAACTGCAAACTTTGCTTTGAAAAGTTTAGCCCTTTAAGGAATGAAATCATGTAGAATTTTGGACTTCTAAAAACATTAAAATCAGCTTATTAATACGGGATAGAGAAAGAAATCTGGTGCCTGGGGGTCCCTGTGTTCACCCCTAGAGTTTGTTTTAAAATTTTTAATTGAAGCATGTGAAGTGTACGTGCAGAAAAGTGGGAACATGATAGTGTATGGCTTGGTGGATTTTCACAAACTGAACATACCTGTGTAATCAGCATCTAGACCCAGACCCAGAGCATCACAAATATCCCCCATCCTGGGCTTTTCCCAGAGGAGATGGGGGCTTCTGAAGATGGACTTACCTGGGACCTGCCCCCCATGAGCCAGGACGGTCCCCCCACAGTCAGCCTGTGCAAAGGCCCCGTGGCCAGGGGTGGAGGAGAATATGTGGGTGTGGACAGGATGGGAGACTGTGGCCTGAACAGGAGATTTTATTATATCTGGAGACCCTGAGAGACCCTGAGACCTGGGGCACCATGGCTGGCCAGGTCAGAAGCATCCTGACTGCAGAGGTCCGTGCAGCCACACCCTCTTCCCTGCCAGCAAGCTGTCTGCGGCTCATCGGAGGCCCCTCCGCCTGGAGCCTTCTATGGACGTGATATGCCTGTATCTGTTTTTAATTTTCATTCTTCACTTAGGGGAAGTGAAATCGCTCAGAGATGAGATCCTTTAATTGAAAACGAAGTGTAACGGAATCTAGTGTCTTTCTAATGTGGTAAAATTCTCCATCAACATCACAGTCAGCTGGCAGCTGAACTTCAGAATCTCACTTACAGCAGGCGACACGGGGGTACACCGATGGGTCACACTGGGTCTGGGGGCTCCCTGGAGCTCCTCCTGCGTGTGGTCTGGTTAGGAGTTGAGTTGTTTGCTCCAGGGTTATTCTCCTCCTCGAGTCACAGTCACACGAATACCTGCCTTCTCTGGCTTTCCTGCTATACACATATTCACATGGCGCTCAAGAAGTTAGGCTCATGGCAACGTGTGTCTTTCTCTGGACAACTGGCCCAGTTTACAGTGAAATGGAGAATTTCAGGTCTCCACGTCTGCCCAGGAAAGAACTTCAGCTGACTCCACGGGGATCTGGAAATCCACGACCAATCCCGATCGGCTCTTATTAGCTCCCCGCTCCACAAGACACCTGTGCTTTGGAAATCCACCACCAATCCCGATCGGCTCTTATTAGCTCCCCGCTCCACAAGACACCTGTGATCTGGAAATCTACCACCAATCCCGATCGGCTCTTATTAGCTCCCCGCTCCACAAGACACCTGTGACATCCTCCAGGGCCACAGGAGCACGTGCTGACCAGTTTTCCCTTCCAGTTCCTGCACAAAAAGTGTCCAGAGGGCTGTTTGCAAACACTAGTGCACTTTGTAGCTTTTCACCCTCTGTCCCAGGGAATCTAGGAGAGATGAGGCCCGTCAGAGTCAAGAGATGTCATCCCCCCAGGGTCTCCAAGGCATTTCCACACTATTGGTGGCACCTGGAGGACATGCACCAAGGCTTGCCAGAGCCAACAGGAAGTGAGCCCAGAGCATGGCACATGAGCATCACCCGCTGATGGTGGCCTGCTGTGCCTGGTGCCAACAGGGGCATCCCGGCCCGTACCCCTCCAGACAGGAAGCATGGGTTTGCCCACAGACCTGTCGGGTGCTCCTGTGAGTGGCCTCCAGATGTCTTTGTGCATAGGCACAAGTGGGCCAGGGCTGGAGGGAGGTGGGAAACCTCATCATCCGGTGGGCCCTGCCAATCTTAACCCAGAACCCTTAGGTATTCCTGGCAGTAGCCATGACATTGGAGCACCTTCCTCTCCAGCCAGAGGCTGACCTGAGGGCCACTGTCCTCAGATGACACCACCCAGGAGCACCCTAGGTGAGGGGTGAGGGCCCCCTTATGTGAACCTCTTGCCTCTTCCTTTCTCCCATCAGAGTGGTTGGATGGAGCCATTGGCCTCCTTTTCTTCAGCGGGCCCTTCAACCTCTCTGCACCATGTTGTCTGGCTGAGGAGCTACTAGAAAAGCTGAGTGGAGTCTCCTTTCCAACAGGATGATGCATTTGCTCAATTCTCAGGGCTGGAATGAGCCGGCTGGTCCCCCAGAAAGCTGGAGTGGGGTACAGAGTTCAGTTTTCCTCTCTGTTTACAGCTCCTTGACAGTCCCACGCCCATCTGGAGTGGGAGCTGGGAGTCAGTGTTGGAGAAGAAACAACAAAAGCCAATTAGAACCACTATTTTTAAAAAGTGCTTACTGTGCACAGATACTCTTCAAGCACTGGACGTGGATTCTCTCTCTAGCCCTCAGCACCCCTGCGGTAGGAGTGCCGCCTCTACCCACTTGTGATGGGGTACAGAGGCACTTGCTCTTCTGCATGGTGTTCAATAGGCTGGGAGTTTTATTTATCTCTTCAAACTTTGTACAAGAGCTCATGGCTTGTCTTGGGCTTTCGTCATTAAACCAAAGGAAATGGAAGCCATTCCCCTGTTGCTCTCCTTAGTCTTGGTCATCAGAACCTCACTTGGTACCATATAGATCAAAAGCTTTGTAACCACAGGAAAAAATAAACTCTTCCATCCCTTAAAGAATAGAATAGTTTGTCCCTCTCATGGGAATTGGGCTGTATGTATATTGTTCTTCCTCCTTAGAATTTAGAGATACAAGAGTTCTACTTAGAACTTTTCATGGACACAATTTCCACAACCTTTCAGATGCTGATGTAGAGCTATTGGGAAAGAACTTCCAAACTCAGGAAGTTTGCAGAGAGCAGACAGCTAGAGATAACTCGGGACCCAGAGTTGGTCGACAGATGTTAGATGTATCCTAGCTTTTAGCTATAAACCACTCAAAGATTCAGCCCCCAGATCCCACAGTCAGAACTGAATCTGCGTTGTTGGGAAGCCAGCAGTGGCCTTGGGAAGGAAGCCATGGCTGTGGTTCAGAGAGGGTGGGCTGGCAAGCCACTTCCGGGGAAAACTCCTTCCGCCCCAGGTTTCTTCTTCTCTTAAGGAGAGATTGTTCTCACCAACCCGCTGCCTTCATGCTGCCTTCAAAGCTAGATCATGTTTGCCTTGCTTAGAGAATTACTGCAAATCAGCCCCAGTGCTTGGCGATGCATTTACAGATTTCTAGGCCCTCAGGGTTTTGTAGAGTGTGAGCCCTGGTGGGCAGGGTTGGGGGGTCTGTCTTCTGCTGGATGCTGCTTGTAATCCATTTGGTGTACAGAATCAACAATAAATAATATACATGTATACATGGGCTGTGTGTGCTCTCTATGGAAGTCTTGGGTAGGTGGTCTCACACCTGTGGATTCTGCTCTTCTATGTTTGTGCAAGGTTGAACTGGACAGATCCTTACAGAAAGCAGATTCTGGGCTGAGAATAGGCCTTTGGAAAGTGAGTGGGAGGCCGGGTGCGGTGGCCCACACCTGTAACCCCAGCACGTTGAGAGGCCGAGGTGGGTGGATCACCTGAGCTCAGGAGTTCAAGACCAGCCTGGCCAACATGGCAAAAACCCATCTCTACTAAAAATACAAAAATTAGCCAGGCATGGTGGTGTGTGCCTGTAATCCCAGCTACTCGGGAGGCTGAGACAGGAGAATCTCTTGAACCCAGGAGGCAGAGGTTGCAGTGAGCCAAGGTTGTGCCACTGCCCCTCCAGCCTGGGCAACAGAGTGAGACTCCATCTCAAAAAAAAAAAAAAAAAAAGAAAAGAAAGAAAAGAAAATAAGTGGGGACCCAAAAGAAAATAACAAATGGTATCTATAGGCCACCGTGGCTGGAAAAGACCTGAAGGATAAGTTCAATCCATTTTATAGATGAGGAAAAGGAGCTCAAGACAGGAAATGAATGTCCAATAGTCACCAGTAAGCCAGTGGCTGAGCCAGCCCTGCAACCCAGGCCTTCAGGCTCCCAGGCTGGTTCTTTTATGCCACCAGGAAGCCACTGACGTTCTGTCAGCATTTGTTCAAAGCACACGTGTGTATGCACACACACACATGCATGCAGGCAGGTGGCAGGACTATGTTACACACCTCTGGACTCCTCTAAGTACTTAGCACCAGGCTCAGGAAGTCCCAGGCTCTCAGGCAACACTGTCTGAAGGAAGGTGACTCCCTCCAAGTGTCCAGGTGTCTCCAGAACTCCCTCAGGCCTTTGGGTTCTGGGGGTGCCACAGCTGCTGGTGCAGGTCCAGCAGTTAAGAGAGGGGTGATCTGCTGTCCCTGTCCCTTTATCCCATGATTATACACAGGAAAAGGGCTTCCAATCATATTTACCTGGACTCTTCTAGTGTCTTAGATCCCTTCTGCCAGGTGTAAGCCTGTCCCAGGAGATTAAGCCCAACAGGGGTCAGTCATGTTCATCATATTACAGGGCTGGACCCCTCCCATGAGCAAGGCAGGGCCTTGTTGCCCTTCCCTAGCCACTGAACCTTAGTACACTCAAACAGCTTTCTGGAATTTTGGATAATGGGGAAAGGAGTTAGAATCTCCATCCCTTCTCTTTCAGAAGATCCTTGAAATTTTTTTGTTTGTTTGTTTGAGGCAAAGTCTCATTCTGTCACCCAGGCTGGAGTGCAGTGGCGCGATCTTGGCTCACTGCAACCTCCATCTCCCGGGTTCAAGCGATTCTCCTGCCTCAGCCTCCCTAGTTGCTGGGACTACGGGCACATGCCACCACACCCAGCTAATTTTTGTATTTTTAGTAGAGATGAGGTTTCACCATATTGGCCAGGATGGTCTCGATCTCCCGATCTCATGTTCCACCCACCTCGGCCTCCCAAAGTGCTGGGATTACAGGCGTGAGCCACCTCGCTTGGCTGATCCTTGGAATTTTTAATGCAAGTCCCCTTCCACAGATGTTTCACCCTACACACACACTCTCTCTCTCTGTCTCCTACCTCCCCAGGCCTTCTGCCACACCCATTCCACAGACGAGAATGCAGAGACTTGTAGAGATTAAATCACTTGTCTAAGGACTGACTAGTTAGTTGAAGAGTCAGAATTCAAACCTAGATCTGTCCAATGCCAAATTTCTCTTGTTCACCAGGCCACGTTGACCAATGAACAAACGGTGTTGCTGGAGGCGAGTGTGGATGGCTTGAGAACCTTGAGTACAGGGCAGTGCCAGGCTCTTCCCAGAACTGCTTGTGAGTGCCCCCACGCAAGCCATTTTTCCCAGCCACTGTCCCACCCTTGCCAGCCCGGGGGCCGCTGAGGGGGAGCTGGGCACACTGTTCACCGCCTGTCTCCATCCCAGAGGCTCCCGCTGTCCTCTGCCAGAGTGCATTTGTGGCATATCGCCACTGAAACACACTTCCTTGCCACACTCCATTAGACCTTTGCAGTTTGGCTGATGCAATCAGCTCACGTGCAAAAGAAACATTAATTTGTACTCATAAAAAGCGTAGATAAAAATCAATACCATGCAATGAGTGAAAAAGCCATCAGTCTACTTTAAATGGTAGACTCCTGGCATTGAAACGATCTTAGACTGCTCGTCCAGGTCACCCCTTCACCCTGCTCGCCTCCACACACCCACTCCTACGCTCTCACCACACACCCACATACATCCTCACACTCACACTCACTCAGTGCACACTCACACATACCCACTCACCACACACCACACACACACATACCCCAACACACTCACACCTACTGCACACACGCACACCCACCCATTCACCACACACACCACACACCCACACACTGCACACACACACCCACTCACCACACACATACACCCACACACCCACTCACTGCACACTCACACCCACTTACCACACATTTTCTCACACACTCTCATTCTACACACACGAGACATACTCATGCATATACACACCCACTTATACCACACACACCCCTACACCCACTTACACACACCCACTCACACATACACCCACTTACACACACTGCACACCTACACACACGCACTCACCACACACACCCCTACACCCATTCACACATATACCCACTCACACCCCCCACACCCACACGCACGCACTCACCAAACACTCCCCTACACCCACTTACATACCCATTCACACATACACCCACTTACACACGCACTCACCACACACACCGCTACACCCATTCACACATATACCCATTTACACACACACACCCCACACCCACACGCATGCACTCACCAAACACTCCCCTACACCCACTTACACACGCACTCACCACACACACCTTTACACCCACTCACACATACACCCACTTACACACACATCACACATGTGCTCTCACCACACACACTCCTACACTCACATACACACGCCCACTCACATATACACCCTCTTTACATACCACACCCCCACACACGCACTCACCACACACACCCCTACACCCACTCACACATACACCCACACACGCACCCACACACGCACTCACCACACACACACCCTACCCACGCGCGCACACACCCACTCACACATACACCCACTTACACACACAACACACCCCCACACATGCACTCACCACACACCCCCTACAGCCACTCACATTTACACCCACTTACATGCACACCCCCAGATGCACGCACTCAGCACACACACACTCCGTGTGTCTTGCAGCCCTGGTTCCACACCTCCGGAGATGGGAAAATCCCTCCCTTCCAAAGCAGCATCTTTCGTCCTCGGCCAGCCCTGAGTGTGTGAGCGCTCCTCTCCATATTGGGCCCCAATTCATCTCCCTATAGCTTTTCCCCCTTCTAATTCAGGAAGGGTTTAGAAAGTTCATTCATTAAACAAGCAAACAAACACAACAAGACAAAACAACAAATCCACAGCCCTCTTGAAATGCCTCCGGGCGCTGAGAGCCCAGCAGGGGCCTGAGGCTGAAGGCAGGCTCCCAGTCCCTCTGCCTCTGCTCACAGGTATGGGTGTGAGCGTGGACCCCATCCCAGGCCTCACCAACCCAGCCGCCTGCGGGAATCTCTAGAGCTTTCTGAGTGTCCTCGGGGTCCTGAAGGTGCCAACCCTGCAACCTCGGTGGGATTTTGGCCCCGGCAGGGCTCTGTACATGGGAGGAGTTCAGGGTCATTTTGTAATCTTCAGAGGCCTTGCCAAGGCCCTCTCCCGTCCTGTGACCCTGGTGACATTCTGGGACGCTGGGGCCACGTGAGGGGAGGAACCACTGCCTGGAACTTTGATCAGCGCTGGGGCTGGATTGAGCTGACCACAGGCCACACCAGACTCCTCTCTGCTCCTGAGGAAGACAGGGCAGCCCGGCGCCACCCGCTCGGCCCTCACGGTAGGCTCCCGGGGTCGCTGAAGGGCTCCAGGGTCTGCAGGGACGTGGGGGCAGGAACGGGAACTTGCGATCTCCCCCGTTTCAGAGCATTCCGCAGCTCCAGGCAGGCTGCGGTTCTGGGGGGCCCCTGCCCCGGGAGGAGAAGTCCCTGAGGTGCTCAGCTAGGGCGCTGCTGGGAAGAGGCAGGAGGAAGGTGGGGCGGGGGTTTGTGAGATGAAGATCTGCCAGTCCTGGCCTACAAGGCTGGTAGTGAGTAGAGGATAAGCAGGGTGACCAGATGTCCAGGTTGGCCTGGTTCTGCCTAGTTTATACTTGTCATCTTGGCATAATAATAATAAATAGTATTACTAATTACTTATTAATCCTATATTAATACTAAATATTATTAATTATTTATTAATATAATTATTGTTTTTTGAGATGGGGGTCTTGTTATGTTGCTCAGGCTGGTCTTGAACTCCTGGCTTCAAGCGATCCTCCCACTCAGCCTGCTGAGTAGCTGGGATTACAAGCGCATGCCACAGCACCCAGCTCAGGCCCAAGGATGACTAGCTCCTGGTTTCCTTCCCAGAAGCGTGCTGGCTCATATAATAAAGTTTGTGGTGAAATAAACCTGCAGGGGGCCACCTTTTATTGAACATTCAGTATGTGCCAGGCGCTGTGTTAAGGGCTTTCTATTTACTATCTTATTTAGCCTATTTATCATCCAATGGAGTGCTAATTTGAACTCTGAGGGCAGAGGTGATAATTAAGTCTGGAAAACCTGAGGCTTAGAGAGTTGGAGTGATTTGCACAAGCCCACACCGCTAGTAGGTGATGGCGTCAGAATCTGATCCCAGCTGGGGGCACTGGCGGAGCTAAAGTGCTTTCCCCTGCTACTAAGCAGGATGAGAGTAAGGCCTGAGATGCGAAGTCACTGAAAGCCACAAACACATTCCTTCAATTCAGCACACAGGGCCTGACTGCCTTCTCAGTGCCTGGCCCCGAGCCAGGTGCTGGGGTGCAGAGCTGCTTGCAGAGACACCACAGCAAGACTGCAGTACCACGGGCTCAGTCGGGTGGGTGCAACTGACTAGAAAACAGAGCGGAAGAGCCCAAACATTCAACACAGTACAAGAGGGATCCGAGGACCCAAGAAAGGGCCGAGCGCGGTGGCTCACGCCTGTAATCCCAGCACTTTGGGAGGCCGAGGCAGGCGGATCACCTGAGGTCAGGAGTTCGAGACCAGCCTGGCCAACACAGTGAAACCCCATCTCTACTAAAAATACAAAAATTAGCCAGATGTGGTGGCAGGCGCCTGTAATCCCAACTACTCGGGAGGCTGAGGCAGGAGAATCGCTTGAACCCGGGAGGCAGAGGTTGCAGTGAGCAGAGATGGCGTCACTGCACTCCAGCCTGGGAAACAAGAGTGAAACTCTGTCTCAAAAAAAAAAAAAAAAAAAAAAAAAAAAAAAAAAAAAAAAGAAGAGGGTAGTCAGGAAGGCTTCATGGGGGAAGTGTGACTTGCACTGGACTGGGAGGGTGGGTATAAATTGGGAGGGTCGCATAGTGCCCAGTTCACAACGGCCTCTTAGTTCAACCTGTCAGCTGTCTTCTCTTCCAGAAGCTAACACAGAGGATAGACAAGCTCCCTCGGGCCTTTGCAACATCACTGCCAGGAAGGAAAGAGTCAAGTAAGCCCCTACTGTGTGTGTGGAACTGTGCTGTGCATTTTACATGTTTATCTCAATATTTAGAATAAAATAGGTTTCAACCTTACTGCAAAAGTGATATGTTTCTTACTTAAAAATGTGGAACATATATTTTTAAGCAGAAGGAAAAAATTAAAATCATCCACAATTCAATTTTTCAGAGGTAATGACTACAAATTTTTTTCTTTTGAGATGGAGTTTCTCTCTTGTTGCCCAGGCTGGAGTGCAATAGTGCGATCTCGGCTCACTGCAACCTCCGCCTCCCGGGTTCTAGCGATTCTCCTGCCTCAGCCTCCCGAGTAGCTGGGATTACAGGCGCACACCACCACGCCCAGCTAATTTTTGTATTTTTGGTAGAGACGGGGTTTCATCATGTTGGCCAGGCTGGTCTTGAACTCTTGATCTCAGGTGATGCTCCCGCCTCAGCCTCCCAAAGTGCTGGGATTACAGGTGTGAGCCACAGTGCCAGACCCCACCACAAATATTTTGTACATAAGCTTCTATTATGTTTTCTGTGTACAAATACACCTTAAAAATGGAAAAGCAGCATTCTGAGACTTCATATATTTCACTTAAGATATTGCAAACATCTTGTCCATAAATACACATCTATAATAAATTTTCTTTTTGTTTAAAATTTTATCTTTTATTCTATTTTTTTGAGACAAGGTCTCCCCCTTCTCACGCTGGAGTGCAGTAGAGCAATCACCCACTCATTGCAGCCTCGACCTCCCAGTCTCAAGCCGTCCTCCCACCTCAGCCTCTCGAGTAGTTGAGACTACAAGCATGCACCACTATGCTTGGGTAATTTTTATAATTTTTTGAAGAGATGAGATGTTACCATGTTGCCCAGGCTGATTTCAAACTCCTGGCCTCAAGCAATCCTCCTGCCTCTGCCGCCCAAAGTGCTGGGATGACAGGCATGAGCCACTGAACCCAGCCTGTAATATAATTTTAAACATAGCAGAGAGGGTTTCCATTACATCCGAGTAGCATGATTCATGTAACCAATCCCTCATGTTGGACATTTAGGTTGTTTCTATTTTCTTGCTGCGGCCCAATGCCTGTTCTCTCATTTGAGAGTCACAATAGCCCTAACCATGCCGGGACTGAGGTATTATGATGATTATTGTTATCATGGTCGTTCTTGGTTTACAGTCGCAGACTGGGACTCTGAGAGGTGGCTTCACTCCCTGGGACACAACTGGGCAGAGGATGGGGTGGGCTGAACTGGGCAGCGGATGGGGTGGGATGAACTGGGCAGAGGGTGGGGTGGGCTGAACTGGGCAGCGGATGGGGTGGGCTGAACTAGGCAGAGGATGGGGTGGGCTGAACTGGGTGGGGGTGGTGGGCTGAACTGGGCAGCGGGTGGTGTGGGCTGAACTGGGCAGAGGATGGGGTGGGCTGAACTGGGCAGCGGATGGGGTGGGATGAACTGGGCAGTGGGTGGTGTGGGCTGAACTGGGCAGAGGATGGGGTGGGCTGAACTGGGCAGCGGATGGGGTGGGCTGAACTGGGCAGAGGGTGGGGTGGGCTGAACTGGGCAGCGGATGGGGTGGGCTGAACTAGGCAGAGGATGGGGTGGGCTGAACTGGGCGGGGGTGGTGGGCTGAACTGGGCAGCGGGTGGTGTGGGCTGAACTGGGCAGAGGATGGGGTGGGCTGAACTGGGCAGCGGATGGGGTGGGATGAACTGGGCAGTGGGTGGTGTGGGCTGAACTGGGCAGAGGATGGGGTGGGCTGAACTGGGCAGCGGATGGGGTGGGCTGAACTGGGCAGAGGGTGGGGTGGGCTGAACTGGGCAGAGGGTGGGGTGGGCTGGCCAGGGCAGCAGATGGGGTGGGCTGAACTGGGCAGAGGGTGGGGTGGGCTGAACTGGGCAGCGGATGGGGTGGGCTGAACTGGGCAGAGGGTGGGGTGGGCTGGCCAAGGCAGGAGCAGAGGCTAGAACCCAGTGCAAACCTGACCGTCTCAGCCACTGGACTTACGTTGCTGGATTGAGAAGAGAGGGGACCAGGCTTGGGGAGCAGCCAGGGACTCTGGATAAGTCTCAGAAGCCCCTCTTTGTGCTTCCAGCTGAGCTGGAGCCCAAATGGCCAAATCCAGGCCCGTTGGTGAGGCAGACATCCATGGAGCCAGCGTCGGGTGGCAGTCCCTGGGTGTCTGGGGCCAGGGTTCTAGGCCCCATTCTAGGTCCCATCACCCTCTGGAAGAAGTGAGGCTTAGCTCTGTGGTGGATGACAGACTGGCTTGAGGCATGCACAGAAACGTACCCTCCCATAAGCAATGTGAGGAGAGGAAGGAGCTCATTTGCACCCAGCCAAACCTTCCCTATCCCTCAAAAAAAAAAAACCCCATTTAAAAAGCCAGACTTCCTTGGCTTGCCGAAAGTGTGGAACATATTTGTGGGCATTTGATGGTCTTATTCCCAGATGAGGAGCAGAAAACCTCTGGCTGCCACCCCACTGTGGCCCTGGGGGCCAGCCTCCCCAGTTCCCAGGGAGGGGCGCGTCCATCTCCAGAGCTCCCCAGTGACCTGCTTTCTTGAGGCCAGGCTGGGGAAGGGGCCAAGGCCAGAGCTCCCAGTCAGAGCCCTCAGAATCTCTGCTCCCCTAAACCTTCTAGCTCTTTCCCTTGGCTGGAGGAAAGAGCTAGAAGGAGTGCTGTGGAGAGGCGTCTCATTGGCTCACAGTGGGGTGGTTGGATGATCTCATGGGTTTCTCCCTAGCTAACCCATGACTGCTTCAGCACAGAGCTGGGGCTGCACTGCTCGGAAGATCAGGGTCACTAACGTTGCCACGCATTTGCCATGTGCCAGGCCCTGAGCTTAGAGCTTTCCATGCGTTTTCTCATTCCATCCTCATAACATCCTCATCAGGAAGGTAGTAGTGTGCTCATTGTTTGGAAGAGGAGGAAAGCAAAACACAGAGAGGTTAAGCAATGCAGTCAAAGCCACAGAGCTAAGCTGGAGGGGAGTTAGGATTTGAACCCAGGCTGTCTGACTCGTAGCCACTCCCGAGTGAGGTGAGGATGGGGCTCGGGCTGAGAGTGGACCGTCTGGAAATTGTCAGTGTTCTGCGCCCTCACTGTGAGAACCATCCCTGCCTCCCTGCTCCCTGCCCCAGTAGACCCAGGCAAGAGGGGTCTTGCCCTGAACTTTAGAGGGCCCTGTTCTGGCCCTCCTCCCCCAGTGATACCACCCACAAGGGGTGCCAAGGGCACATGTCCGTCTGGAGGCTGTGCCCCCATTTTAAACCATGCTCTGGGTACCCAGGACCCCGGCCTCCGTGGGCTGCCTCCCCGGGTCCATCTTCCCTGCAGAGCCCGGGCTGTCAGGACTGGCCCTGGCCCCTCGCTTCTGTGTTGTGTTCCCTTGGGCCAGTCACTGTAGCTCCGGGAGCCCCAGTCTGCCTGCCCTGGGCACTTCTAGGTTTGCGCTGAGGATCAAGATGTATGTGCGGGAGCTTTGGGAACTGGCAGGTGGGAACTAACCCCTCAGCCAAACCCCCACATCAGGGAGATATCTCTCCCTCTGCCTGCATCTCCCGAGCCTTAGCTGATTTGCCTGTACTAGACTTTCTGTGCCACCAGTGCCATGGCTTTGATTCAAGGCTTGAATCCTAGAGCTCCTTCCTTTGTTGGAAATGTGTAAAGCACATTATTTCCAAAGACAACGGATGAAAAGTTAGAGGCACAGACCCAGGGAAGCCAGGGAGCAGCTCAGCTCGCTCCGCAGAGAGGTATCCTCACCCCAGTGGGCTCGAGCATTCCATGGTGCAACTCCGGCTTTGGCCCTGTTTTCCTGGCGGGAGGGATGAACAAAACCAGGAGATCTGGGCTCCACAAGCCAAGCCCTGCTGTGAAGACCCCGGGACCTTGCCTCACTCTCCCTGGGAGGAGGCCAGCTGGTCTCGGGACCCACAGGCCCCAGCGTTGTCTGGTCCATCACTCCAGGGGAGTACTTTCTGGAAATAGCCTTTGAGAAACAATGACCAATGGGGCTAGCAAGGAAGAGGGACTGGCATAATGATCATATTATGGCATGGTAAAAATAAGAATTTGCCGGGCACAGTGGTGTATGCCTATAGTCCCAGCCACTCTGGAGGCTGAGGCAGGAGGATCACTTACACCCGGGAGATTGAGGCTGCAGTGAGCTATGATCGTGCCACTGCACTCCAGCTTGGATAACACAGTGAAGTTCTGTCTCAAAAAATAATAAAATTAAACAAAACTGCTCCCCTCTTGCTCTCTGGAGGAATCGAGGCAGCTCTGGCAGCCTGGCTGGGGGTCATTTGTTCTGGGTTTGCCCATCCCAGGGGGGTGGCTCTGCCTCCCAAACTGCTCTTCCCAGCCTTGGAGAGCTCCATTCAACAAAACCTGCCTGAGCCCAAAGGAAGTCACTGCTGCTCTGGGCATAGAGAGATGAGTACACAGAAAAGACTGCCATGAAAACCCATCATTTCGGCACCTGTGCTGAGTGTTAGGGTGGAGACATGTACCTCCAGGTCCTTCTTCCTAGGGTCAGGGGTGGCTTCTTTCAGGACCCCTAGGGGTTTTGTGTAGGTGCCTCAGGGGCAGGCCAGGTGCTAGTGGCAGCTGTGTGTGTGTGTGGTGTGTGTTGGGGGACAGTGGCTACCCCATGCCTCTTCAGCCAGGCCCACTGCTTTCTGTTCCTAGTCTCATGCTAACTCTGTAGCTGGGGTCTAGGGACACAGAGCCAGGAGGCACACGTTTGCCTGAGGCTTGTTCCTTCCCCTCACATGTCCTAAGTGGCAGGGACATTTTCCTTTTCCTGGAAGAGGTGATTGCGGGAGTCAGATTCTATTTATTTTATTTTAATTAATTTATTTATTTTTGAGATGGACGTCTCACTCTGTCACCCAGGCTGGAGTGCAGTGGCACGATCTCGGCTTACTGCAACCTCTGCCACCCGGGTTCAAGCGATTCTCCTGCCTCAGCCTCCCGAGTAGCTGGGATTACAGATGTGCACCACCGCACCTGGCTAATTTTTGTAGGTTTTAGTAGAGACAGGTTTCACCATCTTGGCCAGGCTAATCTTGAACTCCTGACCTCAGGATCCACCTGCCTTGGCCTTTCAAAGTGCTGGGATTACAGGCGTGAGCCACTGCGCCTGGCCGCAGGAGTCAGATTCTAATCCCAGGCCAGCGGTTATTACTGGTAGAGATTTTCCTTACCGCCTCCCCAAGCTCACTTAGCTATGCATGCCTTAGAGCAGCCTAAAGGAAGGTGTGCATTTTCTCAGGGAGAAGTTGTCCCTTCTCTAATGATGAGGCAGAACATTCCTGGAAGGACTGAGAGTCACTGAGTGACTGAGCGGGAGAGTCAAGGGGGCTCCCCTAATAAGCACTGAGTCCTAAACCCATGAGTTTAATGGGAGACCTTCAGCCAGAAGCGGAATCTCCAGGTGGAGGAGGCACCAGCAGAGGGCAGCAGAGAGACAGCCAGCGAGGAGCGCTAGGGACCCAGATTCTGCAACTGCAGAACCCGATTCGCGGACCCCTTTTACTGAGAAGAAGTTGATTAAGAAAAATTAGGATTATGTTGTGAAAGAGCTTCTTTCTTTTTTAAATTTTTGGTAAATTCAAGTGTATTCCGTCTAAAGAGCATTTTGTTTTTATTTTTTTATTTTTTGGTGTTCAAATAACCTTTTCTGTAATGAGGTAGCTTGCAACCTTTAACAATGGTTAATGTGGTTGATTAATTACTCACTCTATGCCAGATCCTGATGTAAAACTGTTACCTATATATACTCACTTAATCCCTAACAATTACCCTTATGTGGTAGGGACTATTCTAATCTCCATTGTACAGATAAGGAAACTGAAGCACAGATGGATTAAGCAATAAGCCCAAGGTCACGTAGCTAGAAAGCAATGGACCTCAGATTTGAACTCATGGAATTAGGACCACTGCAAGGCATGTGAATAAGTGCTCTGCATGGGAACAGTGGCGGCCTGGAGGGCACACACCCTCTAACAGGGCAGGGGCCACGATGCCCCAGCTGGTCTTGCTATGTGGCAATGCGGGCCCACTGTCCCCAGATCACTCTGAAACCTAGACCTTTATTGTGACGTTTTCCAATTTTTACATGTTGGCTACTGATTCATATATGAACAATGTCACTGAGAAATAAATAAAACATATTTGTAAGGTGCATCACCAATTTGTGACCTGTGAGTACATGCTAGAAAATCTGTTTTTTAATTTTTTAAAAAACAGTAAAGAAAATCTAAAGAATTTTAGAGAATTTTAAAGAAATCTACTGTTCTGTAGAATCCCCAGGTCTGGGGTCCTTCTGTCCACATGACGTTGGAAATCTCCTCGGGTCTCGCCGTGGAGGAGTGGGCAGAGATGGGCAGAGGTGGGCAGGAGGAGGGCATTTCAGCAGCAGTTTTGAGGAGCCATCTCATCTCTGTGGCTGCACTTCCCCTCCACCAACTGTGCAAAGAGCAGGTGCCAGGATCTCTGCATCATTTGGCTCTGACGTGTGCTGAGATTTGGAAACTCAGGAAGAGTTACGGTCTAGGAGCTTCCAACTCAGGAATCATCTGTCCATATCCTATATGTTATCTTTAAAAATTCCACAATGCCCATGGTCTCCTTTTGTGTCTCTCTTCCATGCCTTTTTGTCTCCTTTCCACTTCTTTCCCCAGTCTGAGAAGAATACAGAAAGCCCCAAAGCCCTGGGTCTTGGTCCTGCCGCATGTTGGAGCTCGCTGTCCAGTGCTCTGGTCACTATGCCCTGGTCACTGTGCCCTGGTCACTGTGCCATGCTGTGTGATGATCAAGTTTCTCTTCCTGTTCTCTCTCCCTCCTCGAATCTAGAAGATGCTCCCTGGAGCCTGGCTGCTCTGGACCTCCCTCCTGCTCCTGGCCAGGCCTGCCCAGCCCTGTCCCATGGGTTGTGACTGCTTCGTCCAGGAGGTGTTCTGCTCAGATGAGGAGCTTGCCACCGTCCCACTGGACATCCCGCCATATACGAAAAACATCATCTTTGTGGAGACCTCGTTCACCACATTGGAAACCAGAGCTTTTGGCAGTAACCCCAACTTGACCAAGGTGGTCTTCCTCAACACTCAGCTCTGCCAGTTTAGGCCGGATGCCTTCGGGGGGCTGCCCAGGCTGGAGGACCTGGAGGTCACAGGCAGTAGCTTCTTGAACCTCAGCACCAACATCTTCTCCAACCTGACCTCGCTGGGCAAGCTCACCCTCAACTTCAACATGCTGGAGGCTCTGCCCGAGGGTCTTTTCCAGCACCTGGCTGCCCTGGAGTCCCTCCACCTGCAGGGGAACCAGCTCCAGGCCCTGCCCAGGAGGCTCTTCCAGCCTCTGACCCATCTGAAGACACTCAACCTGGCCCAGAACCTCCTGGCCCAGCTCCCGGAGGAGCTGTTCCACCCACTCACCAGCCTGCAGACCCTGAAGCTGAGCAACAACGCGCTCTCTGGTCTCCCCCAGGGTGTGTTTGGCAAACTGGGCAGCCTGCAGGAGCTCTTCCTGGACAGCAACAACATCTCGGAGCTGCCCCCTCAGGTGTTCTCCCAGCTCTTCTGCCTAGAGAGGCTGTGGCTGCAACGCAACGCCATCACGCACCTGCCGCTCTCCATCTTTGCCTCCCTGGGTAATCTGACCTTTCTGAGCTTGCAGTGGAACATGCTTCGGGTCCTGCCTGCCGGCCTCTTTGCCCACACCCCGTGCCTGGTTGGCCTGTCTCTGACCCATAACCAGCTGGAGACTGTCGCTGAGGGCACCTTTGCCCACCTGTCCAACCTGCGTTCCCTCATGCTCTCATACAATGCCATTACCCACCTCCCAGCTGGCATCTTCAGAGACCTGGAGGAGTTGGTCAAACTCTACCTGGGCAGCAACAACCTTACGGCGCTGCACCCAGCCCTCTTCCAGAACCTGTCCAAGCTGGAGCTGCTCAGCCTCTCCAAGAACCAGCTGACCACACTTCCGGAGGGCATCTTCGACACCAACTACAACCTGTTCAACCTGGCCCTGCACGGTAACCCCTGGCAGTGCGACTGCCACCTGGCCTACCTCTTCAACTGGCTGCAGCAGTACACCGATCGGCTCCTGAACATCCAGACCTACTGCGCTGGCCCTGCCTACCTCAAAGGCCAGGTGGTGCCCGCCTTGAATGAGAAGCAGCTGGTGTGTCCCGTCACCCGGGACCACTTGGGCTTCCAGGTCACGTGGCCGGACGAAAGCAAGGCAGGGGGCAGCTGGGATCTGGCTGTGCAGGAAAGGGCAGCCCGGAGCCAGTGCACCTACAGCAACCCCGAGGGCACCGTGGTGCTCGCCTGTGACCAGGCCCAGTGTCGCTGGCTGAACGTCCAGCTCTCTCCTCAGCAGGGCTCCCTGGGACTGCAGTACAATGCTAGTCAGGAGTGGGACCTGAGGTCGAGCTGCGGTTCTCTGCGGCTCACCGTGTCTATCGAGGCTCGGGCAGCAGGGCCCTAGTAGCAGCGCATACAGGAGCTGGGGAAGGGGGCCTCTGGGGCCTGACCAGGCGACAGGTAGGGGCGGAGGGGAGCTGAGTCTCCGAAGCCTTGGCTTTTCACATGCAAGGGACAGGGTTACATCCCCAAGGTGAGGGGGTGGAGTCTGGTCTGCTCCACTAACCAGGGTCTCCTCCTCCTCTTCCTTCATCGCTTCTCCTGGAGTGTGCGGCCTAACAAGGCCATCCTTATGCCTTGCAAAGCACCCTCAAAAGCTGCACCACAGCCTGGAGAATAAAATATCCTCAGCCCTGATGCCTCCCCATTATGTAACACCCAACCGCTCTCACCTACACCCTGAGGTCTATTCACTGCATCCCAGTGATACAAAGTGGAGGCCACTGCCTTCTGACATCTGGCTCAAAAGCCCAGTGTCTGTTTCCATTTATTTCCCTGGAATTTCATTTAAAATTGGTATAGAGAAAAAAAGGATGTGACAGAAGCAGAGATGACCAGAAAGCACAGGGGCAGGGTTCTGACTGGCGTGTGGGAGACCCTGTGGCCGGCACCCACCTCCACACGAGGACTAAGCTCTGATTTTTTTATCTTGCCCAAATTCCTACCTAAGGGGTCTAGGGAGTCGCGCCTTACAAATCATAAATTCTCATCAGATGGGTTTTATTTGACCCTGTATATCATGACTTATTTTTAATCTGACTATGGCATAACATTACAAGACGAGGCAAAAATATTTAACCCCCAAATATATTTCCTTGCCCTACCTTGAACTTGCCCTGCAGAGTCTCTTGTGAGGAGAATCCACATCCTATAAAGAAGCCCCTTTCCCCTTTGTTTTCCTTCCTTTCTTTCCAGTCCAGGAGATCATCAACTAAGAGCCAGGCACCCCTTTTAAGTCGATAAGAAACAGTTTACAACCTGCTCTCTCTCTCTCTGAAGTCTGCTGAGAGCTTCCCCTGCACAATAAAACTTGGCCTCCACGATCCTTTATCTTAACCTGAACATTCCTTTCCATTGATCCCAGGTCTTCAGCTAAGCTCAACCAATTGTCAACCAGAAAATGTTTAAATTTACCTACAGCCTGGAAGCACCCACCCCCGCTGCTTCGAGTTGTCCTGCCTTTCTGAACTCAACCAATGTATTTCTTAAATGTATTTGATTGATGCCTCATTCCTCCCTAAAATGTATAAAACCAAGCTGTACCTCGACCACCTTGGGCACATGTTCCCAGGCCCTCCTGAGGTCTGTGTCACGGGCCATGGCCACTCATATTTGGCTCAGAATAAATCTCTTCAAATATTTTACAGAGTTCGACTCTTTTCATCAGCACTCACAGCAATATATGCTTTCGGGAAAATTATAGTTATGCTTTGATGTGCTTACATATGCTGAATGTCAAGGATCATTTCCTTTCAATCAATAAAATGATAAATGTTGTCATATGCTGTCAGCCCATCCACATGTAGTCACAGCTGAGTTCAGTCTTCACAGACAAGGCCCCTGCATAAGAAAAACTTAAAACAAAGGCAATGCATTCCTCTGCTTGCCTTCTGAGGGCGCCCTGCCCTGCAAGGGAGTAGCTTTCAATCAAATTCTTTTCACTGCACTCAGCGACTCGCCTTGAACTCCTTCCCGCGTGAGATCCGAGAACCCTCTTTCGGGGTCTGGACTGAGACCCTTTTCTGGTCACACCACCAACACCCGGCTAATTGAATCAGGATCTCAGAAAACGGGGCCCAGGCACCGGCGTTTTGATTTTTGTTACTACCGGTTTTTAAAAGCCTCCCCAAGCGACTGAAGGGTTCAGCCAGCATTGAGAGGCAATCTCCTTCTTACACAGAGGAGGAAACTGGGGCCCACAGAGGAGCTGTGATTTGCCAAAGGCTGAAGAATGTGAAGAAAAGAGGTGTGGGTGCCGGGTGCGGTGGCTCACGCCTGTAATCCTAGCACTTTGGGAGGCTGAGGCGGGCAGATCACGAGGTCAGGAGTTTGAGACCAGCCTAGCCAACACGGTGAAACCCCGTTTCTACTAAAAATACAAAAAAAAATTAGCTGGGTGTGGTGGCACGTGCCTGTAATCCCAGCTACTCAGGAGGCTGAGGCAGGAGAACTGCTTGTCCCGGGACCTGGGAGGTAGAGGTTGTGGTGAGCTGATATCACACCATTACACTCCAGCCTGGGCAACAAGAGCGAAACTCTGTCTCAAAAAAAAAAAAAAAGAAAGAAAGAAAGAAAGAAAAGAGGTGTGGGAGCCGCGTGTGCTGAGTTCTAGTCCAGAACCCATGGAAAACGTTACTGCTGGGCCAGACCAGACACATCACCAGGAGACGGGGCACGAGGTGCCCCGGGGAGCAGGGCACACTGGGAGCTGCTTCTTCACTGATCTCTCCTTGGCCTGAGCTGGCTGTTGGCCATGCTCTTTCCCCAACATCATTTGGCAGAGAGAAATTCTGATGTTGTAATTTAATGCAGGGTTATGTTTTGAGGGGGAAATTTAATTGAGAGAAATGTCTGCTGGATTTTCCTATCCCTTTATCCCTGCCAGCGGACAGGACGTGTCTGTGGCTCAGACAGGCATTCAGGCGATGGGGATTTCCGAAGCTCCTGCTATGTGCTAGACATGGGGTCGTTTTC
This sequence comes from Homo sapiens, assembly GCF_000001405.40. Taxonomy (NCBI): domain Eukaryota; kingdom Metazoa; phylum Chordata; class Mammalia; order Primates; family Hominidae; genus Homo; species Homo sapiens. The sequence continues at coordinate 194,338,434 of NC_000003.12, read as the reverse complement.
CCAGAGAGTGGCAACACATCCAGGCTGGAGCCAGCAGCCCAAGGCCAAGATCCCCAATCTCGGAAGGGTCTGGGCAAGGTTATTCTTAAACCAAATGAATTTGGGTGTCTGTTGCTTTGGTGAATCTGTGAATCAGCTTCCATCACCTTAGAATGTAATTGATTTGAGCCTCAGGAAGCCTGTTTCTTTTTTCTTTTTTCTTTTTTTTAAGTAGCCCCACAAGCCAAGCTCAGTGGTGTACGCCTATAGTCCCAGCTACTCAGGAGGCTGGGGTGGGAGGATCACTAGAGGCCAGGAGTTCAAGGCTAGCCTGGCCAACATAGTGAGACCCCGTCTCTAAAAAATAAATAAGAAATAAAATGCCCCACAGGAAATGAGGAAGACATTGTGTTTCCTAGTCTAATGCGGGCATGTCACACCTTCCTTCCCCCATACCTGCCCCCGCCCTTGGTTCCTGGCCTCACTGTCTTTCAGCCACCCAGGAGAGAAACCCGAGACTCAGCCCAGGCTCCCCCTCTCACATCTCCCAACACCACCCGCTTGACTCCCCCACCAAACCCTTCCTTAGACTTAGACCTGCTGGCTTGTTCTCAGGGGGCTATGCCAGTGGCACCTGGAGGTTCCCCGATGCCCTCACCCTGACCCACACTTGGCATGATGTCTTTGTAATTTTTGCAGGCCTATCAGTGTAGAATGACACCTACGCTGTTTTCGCTGGCATTTCTGTGATTCACACTCAGGTCTTTCAGGTTCTCTGTGTACGTGCGGCTCAGTTGCTAAACTTTTTTTTCTTTGGAGACGGAGCCTCGCTCTGTCACCCGGCCGGAGTGCTGTGGCGCGATCCCGGCTCACTGCAACCTCCGCCTCCTGGGTTCAAGCGATTCTCCTGCCTCAGCCTCCCGAGTAGCTGGGACTACAGGCACGCACCATCACGCCCAGCTAATTTTTGTATTTTAGTAGAGACAGGGTTTCACCATGTCGGCCAGGATGGTCTTGATCTCTTGACCTTGTGATCCACCTGCCTCGGCCTCCCAAAGTGCTGGCATCACAGGCGTGAGCCACCTTGCCTGGCCTGCTGAAACTTTTTGATTCTCTTCCCTTGGCATCCCTTGCCCTCTAGGCTCTCATCTCAAACCAGGCAACAGCTCTCACTGTTCCCTGCCTCTTGCTCTCATAAGATTTCGCTGGGCCAGCTGCCTGAAGCGCTGGCAGAAGCATGTCCCTCTTCTGCAAGACCTTCAATAACTGCCTGGGGCCTCCTTCATCAACATGCACCCTCCTCACTCTGCCCCAGGGCCCTGCAGAATCAGCTCATCTGGGCTTCCAGCCTTATCTCTTCCTCCTCGTCGCCCCTCTACAGCCCTGACCCCTCGCCCTTGCCCTTCCCCATTCCTTAGCTCAGGCTCTTCTTCACAAGTTTCCTGCTCTACTTGGAGCCCTCCTTAAGGCCCAAGATCCAATGCAGCCTTTCCCGTGGCCGGTGCTTCCTGCCGCTTCGCCTCCTCTGAACTCCCCGGCACTGGCCTGCGCTGGCCTCTTTCTGCCTTGTGTTTTCATCCCATGTGGCTGATTTGTCCCGGTGGCCAGGAGCTCCTGGGGGCCTGCTGTACATCTGGTTCCCTCCTCCCTCCCTGCCCGAGCCTTTCTCCCAGGCCAGTCCACAATACAGCTGGAAACCAGGTAGCAGGTTGTGCAGTGGCTCAGCCGGGGGCTACAAAGCGTCTGGGAGCAGGAGGGGAGGAGCGGCTAGAGGGAGGCTCAGAGGCTGGAAGCCTGAGCATTCACGGACTCCTTGGCCCTGAGGACTGAAGGAAGGGGTAAGAGTGAGTGAAGAACACGCCCAGCTCCTGGACTGGTCAATGCGCTGATGAGAATCAAGGGGAGTAGGGGACAGAGCCTGCTTAGACGTGTCTGTGGTCAACAGGAGGACATGGGGCTCTGAGCAGGGGGTATCAGCCTGGGGCTGAAAAGAGCTGAGCCCAAGAGAAGAGCTGGGCTCATTACCAGAGAGGAGGCATCCACACAGGGGTGCATGGGAGGCTGCCCAGGGCATGGGAGGACAGCGAACCCTGAGATGAAGCTGCAAGAGGCGGCCCAGGAGGGTTGCAGGGGTGGCTGAGGTGGTAAGAGGCCGGGCATGGTGGCTCACGCCTGTAATCCCAGCACCTTGAGAGGCTGAGGTGTGTGGATCACCTGAGGTCAGGAGTTTGAGACCAGCTTGGCCGACATGGTGATGAAACCCCGTCTCTACTAAAAATACAAAAATTAGCCAGGCGTGATGGTGGGCGCCTGTAGTCCCAGCTACTTGGGAGGCTGACGCAGGAGAATCGCTTGAACCTGGAAGGTGGAGGCTGCCGTGAGCCGAGATCGCACGACTGCACTCCAGCCTGGGCAACAAGAGCGAAACTCCATCTCAAAACAAATAAAAATAAAAATAAAAAAACAAGGGAGAACAGCTCTAGTGAGTGGGCAGCTTGCACTCAGCTGCTGGGAGAATGAAGCTGCCACTCAGCTGGCCCAGGCTGCCCCTACACCTCAAACCTTTTCCTTCTCCTTAGCAGCAGCCATGATGTGTGCTGAGCAGGCAAAGCCACCCTCCCCTCTGGGGCCTTTGTGTCACAAAGTCGAGCGTCTGGGGTTTCCCTTCCCGAGGCTTCGTTTTATCTCAGTTTCTCCTGGGCGCAGCGCGGGTACTGGGACACCTGGACTCTCTGTTGTTGTAGGGGTTTGTTCTTGCAAGCCATTCCCAAGCTGCTTCCTGAGCTGTAAACATCTTAGGACCATGGGTCATGATTGGCAAGGAATATGCCTTGCTAGCTTTGGGATGGAGTTGATTTTCAGACGATCTTACTCTGTCTCTTCTAGGCTCCTGCCTCCCTAACACTGGGGTTACCCAGATATCATTTTGTTTAAATCTCCCCCAGCGATTCTAACGCATGGCCAGGGTTGAACATTTAGGCAGAATTTTGTCTCGGGCACTGTCCAGGGCTAGGTTCAGTGTAATTTGCACTGGGCAATGCTGGCCTCCTCAGACCCACCTGGTGTCTGCTCTGGATGAATTCATGAATGAAACAAGTGACAAACATCATGTATAAAAATATTTCATGGATTTTTTTTCTTTCTTGTTGATGTTTTCATTGTATTTTATTATTATTATTTTTTGAGATAGAGTCTCACTCTGTCTCCCAGGCTGGAGTGCAGTGGCACGATCTTGGCTCACTGCAACCTCTACCTCCCTGGTTCAAGCAGTTCCCCTGCCTCAGCCTCCCGAGTAGCTGTGATTACAGACACGCCACCACGCCCGGCTAATTTTTTTTTTGTATTTTTAGTAGAGATGGGTTCTTGCTATGTTGGCCAGGCTGGTCACGAACTCCTGGCCTCAGGCAATCTGCCCGCCTCGGCCTCCCAAAGTGCTGGGATTATAGGCATGAGCCACCGCGCCCGGCCGATGTTTTTAATTTTTCAGCATTAGTGCTCTCATAAATCTTGCATTTTTGAAGAAACAGCAGCTGGGGGTGCGCTCTGCCTTGCTTTTTTTTTTTTTTTTTTTTTTTTTTTTAGATGGAGTCTCCCTCTGTTGCCAGGCTGGAGTGCAGTGGTGCAATCTTGGCTCACTGCAACCTCTGCCTCCTGGGTTCAAGCGACTCTCCTGCCTCAGCCTCCCAAGTAGCTGGGGCTACAGGCACGTGCCACCATGCCCAGCTAATTTTTGTATTTTTAGTAGAGACAGGGTTTCAACATGTTGGCCAGGATGGTCTTGATCTCTTGATTACGTGATCCGTCCGCCTTGGCCTCCCAAAGTGCTGGGATTACAGGCGTGAGCCACCGCCACCGGCCTGCCTCGCTTTCTTATAGTAAAGGATGGCTAAGACATTCCAAAGCTCCTCCTTCCAGCAGGCAGGACGCTCTTCCAGGAAGCTTTGAATGTTGTACCTTCTTTAGTGATGTCCTGCTACTTGCCAGTCATGCAGCCCTCGGCAAATTACTAAGCTGTCTGTGGCTCAGTGTCCTCACCATAGTTTTATCACATAGCACCCACCTCATAGTGTTATTGGTGAAGATAAAATAAGTGCATCCATATAAAGTACCCACAACAATGACACATGGTACGTTCTCCAAAATCGTTATCTTGCATTATTATTTTTGTTAGTATTATTCTAGAGAGAACTGTGGGTGTGGGTGCGGACGGGGTAGGCAAGCACCGGCCAATTGTTTTACCTGTTCCCGTTGATCTGTTTCTGGAAGAACGTAAAAACTGCTGTTTATATATCAAAATTGCATTGTTTAGGAGGATTGGAAATGCAATTGACACAATTGTTCAGTGCTAACAGTGGATATTGGAAAACTGGACGGTGCCGTCAAAGATTAGACTGTCTAGCGCGATGCGAGTCCAAGGACGAATGCTTTCTGGCCCTCTCAGCCTGCTTCCACCACGCGCGCATCTGCAAGCATTTTAAGTCTGCGCCTGCAGAGGTCCCGAGCCTGGTCTCGGAGCGCCCCCTTGTGGTCGCACGGAAGAACGCGCCCCGCGCAGACGTGGAGGGCCAGGGAGGGGTTCTCCCAGCTCCGCCCGCGGGCGCGGCGCGGTACTTTATTCTTGGAAAGTCAGAACCGGGTCCCCTAGAAGGGATACGGGCACATTGACACGGTGACCCGGGGGATACTTGCCGGAGTGCATGCGGGCGTGCGTGCGGAGCCGTCACGGCTTCTGTCTCCTGCACGCCTGAAAAAGCGCCAGGTCCGCTTGGGGCCCATGCACCGAGGAGCCGCCGGGCGGAGGCGAGTCCACCCGCCACCCGGTGGGGCGGCGAAGCGTTCGGGGCGCTCCAGATTGTCCCCGCGCTGCCGCGGTCCTGCACAGTGACTCGTCCCGCGCCCTCCACGGCTTCCAAGCGTCCCCTGCGACCTCCAGATGCCGATGTGGTACGAACCCCGTCCTCGAGGATCTCAGCTGGGAGCCTCCTGCTGCGCGCTGCTGCCACGTGGACGCGCGGTTCAGGACCGCACCTGGCAACGTGCATCCTGGGAAGACTGTGCTTTGTTTTCTTTGGGATTTTATCAAGAGTTGTTCAGCACTTTGGGAATCTTTATCCCGAGGCAATGCTTAGCCCTGATTGCAAAATGTCAAACACGGACACAAATTCATCCTTTACTCATCGTGAGTGAGTGACAGTGACTTCCAGTCTGTTAGTGAGATCTTGGCCAAACATTCCACATGGAAACGAATTCTTTTATTATAAGTTACCTTTGACTTCTAATTAATATTACAGATAGAAGGTTTTATTTTTAAATTCTCTGCGAGGTTTGACGATATTATCTGTGAAGTTTTTTTTCAGGAGACTAAAGCGGGTGTTACAAATGATTTACCAGGAAATCATTAGGTCTGTGGGGGTGCGGTTCAGAGGTCAAAGTAACAGAAGGAGCAAAACCACATGGTCTTCATCAAAGGAGGCCTGCTGGTGTGTCCTGGCCCTGTTTTCCTCCCGGGGTGGAGGCTATGGGTCTGAGGCTCCCCTTCCCACCATGGCGTGAGAGATCCTTTCGCAGAGAAGCTTTGTAAAGGGGAGCAGAGATTCCAGCTGCATTTGGAGGGAAAGGACAGATTCGTGTATTAGTCTGTTCTCCAGCCAAAAAGAACCAACAAGAGATGATAGATAGATAGGAATTGGCTCATGCAATTGCAGAGGCTGAGAGATCTCAGGTTCTGCAAGCTGGAGACCCAGGGAAGGCGGTGGTGTAATTCCATCCAAGTCCCAAGACCTAAGAACCAGGGGATCTGATGATATAAATCCCGGTGCAAAGGCAGGAGATGAGATGTCCCCGCTCCAGCAGTGAGGCAGGAAGACGCGGGGCAGTTACTCCTTCCTCTGCCTTTTTGTTCACTCAGGCCCTCAGTGGATTGGGTGGTGCCTGCCCTGGCTGGGGAGCGGATCTGCTGTGCTGAGTCCACCTTTCCAAATGTCAATGTCATCGGGAAACGCCCTCAGAGACACACCTGGGAACGGTGTGTGTCATCAGGGTACCCTGTGGCTCACTCAGGTTGACACCTAAAATTGAACATCACAGTTAGGAAGCCTGATTTGTGGCACCCGCTCTGCCTCACTTGCGACCTGTGTCTGTGAACAAGCCACGCCCCCTCTCTCCAGGCCTCAAAATCTTCACTGAGTAACTAGGGGCTGAAAGCCTGGGTGGACGTGTGGATGCCCCACCTCCTGCTCCAGCCGTCTGAGGTGTGCCGCCTCTCCAGCAGGCACCCACCCCCTCACTTGGCCTGGAGGATGGTGGGCACCTCCCCAGGGTGGGGCCCAGCCAGAGCCCAAACTCTCAGCACTCTGGGGGCAGCGGAACCCCTTGGCCGCCACTCAGCGCAGACTGCAGCTGTCCAGCCTGGCCCCTCAAGAACCTTCTCTGCATTCTCCTTGCCCACTGGTTTGCTCAGTGATGATAAACTGACTCCCTGTCTGTGCAGCCCAGCCTTCCCTGGGCTGGCCTCCCTGTAACATTCCCGCTGGCTCTGGGCAGGTGGACACCCAGTCCCCAGACAGCCCTTCAGAAGTGGAAGCAGTCTTCATCATGCTCAGGCAGTCCTCCCGTCCCCAGTCTAAACATTGCCAGGAGCCACTTCTAACAAGTAGTTGCTCACACAACGCAGAGCCTTCACTTCCACGATCTCCGTGCCGTGGAAGCTGTGATTGCGGGCCATCGTGAAGGATGTGCTTCCTTCCAGAGCTGGGGATCCGGGGCTGAGGTCCCACGGTAGCTGGGAAGCCTTTTTCCTTGAGCCTTTTTCCTGGCAGTTTTCATCCGTCACTGTATCCGGGGAGCTTTTTATTTTTTTCTTGGAACTCTGTGGCTGGCCTGGCTGTGTCCTTTGATTCCAGTCCTGTGGGATGGATTATTCCAGCAACAGCCTTTGCAAGATTTCTTTGCCACACTGGCTGTCATGGAAATTCCAGAGACTATGGAGGCAGCCTTCAGAGAGCCATTTCCTGGTCGTGGACATTCCTGTGATCGGATGGGGAGCATTAATACTCCTGCAAGGTTGAAAAAGTGGCCTGTGGAGGCTCTGGCTAAGCCCTTTGAAGCAGATGTACTACTAATCTGGAAGGCCTGGTGTGCTCGGGGGTCTCTGGAGATCTCACTTTATGACATGGGCTACCAAGGTGCTCAGACACCACCTTGCCAGCTGTGGAAATGAAAATCCAGTCTTCAGAATGACAGGTGAATCAAAAGAAGAGACCATTTGATAACCTTGAGAGTTGGTGAAACTTCCTAAGCAATACTGACATTTCTTTCCTGCCCAAGGGACAAGGGTGCTAGCCGACCCTGGTACACTTGGCTGAAAGAGACCAGAATTAGATACTACCCCTCAGGATTCTGGACAACCTAGTGCACCTGGTTGAACTGAGCATTCAGGACAATGGGAACTTTTCCCAGAAATGGCTTGAATTGGAAATGATAAAATTGGAAATCAGTCTCCCTGGGAAGCTTCCCTCTTATGTCTTCTTTGGGCCAGTCAATGGCACACAGGGGAAACTCAGTTCAAATGAGCTGGGCCATGCCCAGGCCTGTTCTGCAAGCCTGCTCTTCTGGGAGCAGGGCCCAGCTGGAGCAGCTCCAAGCTTCTGCCAGACACCCCTCCCCCAAGAGGCTGAGTAGTTTTCATACCCAGGTTTCAGTTCTTCCTTGGAGAATCATGAATTTGGGAAACTCACATATTTCAGCGTGGAGGTCAGTTACGTCGCCTCTTTAAAGGATGATGCATTTTCTTCTTTTGCAAACTTTTTGGAATCTCTCCCTGGAGCCACCAACGTGGTAAGCTTGTCTCAGGGCCTTTTGCATCCCCAGCCAAGCTCTCATCTGTGAGATTCCTTCTCAGGTGGCCTCAGAGGATTCCCACGTGGGTGAAGTTGTCAGCATCTCACTGCCACTCTGTGCAACAGCTGAAAATGACTGAACGGCCCTGCTTTGCTTTCAGCCAGCCCTGCTGAGGCTTCGCCACCCTCAGGAGCATTGAGTGTCATTGTAGCCACTGAGCTCCATGACCACGCTCTCAACCCCCCAACCTCTCTGCAGCCAACAACACTCAGCCTGCAGCCACACCCCCATCAACCTCCTGTGTGCGCGCCAGCCCTCGATGACAGCGTTTCACATCCCCAGGTCCTTTCAGGCCACCATGACCCTCAAGCTGCAGCCCTCCTCTCACCTGCAACCGTGTCCAGAATGCCAGTCTGTGGGGTCTTCTTGCCACGGTTCCAGTGAAATACAGATGATCCAGCCCTTGAGACTTCAACTTACAATTTTCTGACTTTATGATAGATTTACTGGGGTATTAAATGCATTTTTGACTTATATTTTGGACTAACAATGAGTTGATCAGGATGTAACCCCATCATAGGCCTGTAAACCTCTCTTTGCCTGGACTTCGAGTTCCTCTCCAAAAAGGAGCCCACAGCCACCATGCACGCTGAGCCCATCCAAGAAAGAAACGCCCACTCACTGCACGTCCCGGGGAGGTGCCCACAGTCACACCCTCCCTCCCTCCCGTGTAACCTTTCCAACAACAAATTCCCATGTGCTTTCGCCTGCCCCAGTTGTCAGCAGCACAGAAAACACTTGGGAGACAGCATCAGTGACCCTGTCATTACAGTCAACACACCTGCTGGAGTTTGCTCTTGCACCTGTCCCCAGCACTCAGCTGCTCTGTGGCCTTCGCCAGCTGTGCCCATCAGCCAGGCACCAGAGGCTGCCCCTGAGCCCCAGAGATCAGGAAAGTTGCAGGGGAGGGAGCAAGCCCCAGCACAGAACTCTTCCTACACAAGGAATCCCAGGGAGTCCTCCCAGGACGAAACGGACACGTACCTCCTCCTGCCCTCAAGAGGGGACGTGCAACTTCTCCAGAGAGGAGAGGGGACATCTGGGTGAGACTTGGGGGCTGAATGGGGGGGATTTGCATTCAACCCCTGGACTGATTTTAGTTTTGCTCTGACATATGTAAGCCGCCATTTTTTTTGGTGTGTGATATTGTTTTCACATCTGAGCAGCTGGCACACTTGTGAAGTCTTCTGGAGTCTTAAAAACTGGATCTAAAAGTTGGAAATCGGCATATGCTAATAAATGTCAAGCCACGGCCCTAGGGCATTTGCGGTAAGTACTATTAGACTCACTGCATTCACCCACAAACACATCCCATAGCTAAATTAAAATATAAGAACGAACTCAATACGATGTTTGACTATCCAGCCTCTACACTGTCCTCAATAGAGCTCTAAGCCAGGGAAATAAAAATACCTCCTCAGCAGCCAAAATGAATTTCCAGTGCCCGAAATGAAAGCTCATGCATCCGCTCCAAGGAACATTCCTCCTTTCAGAATCTGTTCACCTTCACAACAGACAGGGGCTATCACGTTTGGTTACGTGATTTCAAGGCGATAGCAGATTAAAGACAAAAATGATCAGTTGGAGGAAGGTAACGGTCCTGCTGGAGGAAGACTTGCTAACAACTAAGAAAGTGATAGAAAAATGGCAAAATCAGACACGAACTCCCAAAGAACAGCTGGGCCATTTCACGGAGGGTACCTGGTAGCTTCCGAGGGCAGCACGCTACTCCAGCACAGGTAAGAGCTGAGGGAAATAACGATGACCCCAGCTACCTTGGAAAAGGTAACATCAGGTATAATACTGTCTCAGTTTGCATTCCCGTGAAAGCAGAGCTTGGTGCGAGGGCTTGGATGCAGTTTAATTGGGCGATGATCCCAGGGAGCAGGACCATGAGATGCGGAAGGGGGAAAACCGGTAGAGAAAAACGTGCTGGCTGTGGTGGCTGCTGTGGGGCCTTCCTGGGAAGCATCCAGAAGGTCTCCAGGGCTGCCTTCCTGAAGCACAGGAGGCGCGCATGCCTCCACCGGCTCCCACCGCCAGCTTCCACTCCCCACGCTTCGGCGCTCAGGCAAAGGGGCATCGGGGAACGCCACCGGGCAGAGACATCAGAGAGCTGGGCCGGGAGGTGGGAGATGGGGTGGAACCGCCCTGTACAGTGGCTGCTGAAAAGAGCAGGGGCTGAAGGCATCTGCTGCAATTACCCTCTGTTCAAAGCAGCAGCAGGCAACTCTTACACGCTGAGTTACACTCTTCCACTCTAATTCCACTCAAAGGACTGTACGTGCTAAATGTTTCATACTTGACAGGCAAGTCCTCAGTTATCCAGGGGTGACTCAGAGCAGACTAACGTCCACAGAGGGCCCTGGGTGAAAGAGGCGGTCTTGGCCACGCTGGGACAGGTGCGCTCTGCGGATGCGCGTGTGAGGGCGCCGTGCCACAGTGACCCGCATGAGTGTGAGCTGTTTGAAGGGGAGGTACCAGAGGACTTTTCATTTCTGCTGGCTTCAGCCACACCGTTGTGTGGTTGTGTGTGTGTGGTGTGTGTGGTTGTGTGTGTAGTGTATGTGGTGTGTGTAGCTGTGTGTGGTGTGTGTGGTTGTGTGTGTGGTTGTGTGTGGTGTGTGGTTGTGTGGTTGTGTGTGTGGTGTGTGGTTGTGTGTTGTGTTGGTGTGTGTGGGTGTGTGTGGTGTGTGGTTGGTTGTGTGGTTGTGTGTGTGGTGTGTGGTTGTGTGTTGTATGTTTGTGTGGTGTGTGGTTGTGTGTGGTGTGTGGTGTGTTGTGTGGTTGTGTGTGGTGCGTGTGGTGTGTGGTTGTGTGGTATGTGTGGTTGTGTGTGGTATGTGTGGTGTGTGGTTGTGTGGTGTGTTATGTGTGGTTGTGCGTGGTATGTGTGATTGTGTTGTGTGTGGTTGTGTGGTTGTGTGTGGTGTGTGTGGTTGTGTGTGTTGTGTGTGTGGTATGTGTGATTGTGTGTGTGGTGTGTGGTTGTGTGGTGTGTGTTGTGTGTGTGGTATATGTGACTGTGTGGTTGTGTGCTGTGTGCTGTGTTGTGTGTGTTGTGTGTGTGGTTGCGGTGTGTGGTTGTGTGGTGTGTGTGGGGTTGTGTGTGCTGTGTGTTGTGTGGTTGTGTGTTGTGTGTGCGGTTGTGTATGTTGTGTGTGGTGTGTGGTTGTGTGTGGTGTGTGTTGTGTGTGGTTGTGTGTTGTGTGTTTGTGTGTTGTGTGGTTGTGTGTGGTGTGTGGTGTGTGGTTGTGTGGTTGTGTGTGGTTGTGTGTGGGGTTGTGTGGTTGTGTGTGGTGTGTGTAGGTGTGTGTGGTTGTGGTGGGTGTGGTTGTGTGGTGTGTGGTTGTGTGTGTTGTGTGTGTGGTTGTGGTGTGTGTGGTTGTGTGTGGTGTGTGGTGTGTGGTTGTGTGGTTGTGTGTGTGGTGTGTGGTGTGGTTGTGTGGTATGTGTGGTTGTGTGTGGTGTGTGTGGTTGTGTGGTGTGTGGTCGTGTGGTGTGTGTTATGTGTGGTGCGTGGTATGTGTGATTGTGTGTGTGATTATATGGTGTTGTGTGTGGTTGTGTATGGTTGTGTGTGTGGTGTGTGTTGTGTGTGTGGTTGTGTGTGGTGTGTGGTTGTGTGGTTGTGCGTGGTGTGTGGCTGTGTGTGGTGTGTGGTTGTGTGTGGTGTGTGGTGTGTGTGTGGTTGTGTGTCTGTGTTGTGTGTGTGGTTGTGTGTGGTATGTGTGATTGTGTGTGTGGTTGTGTGGTGTGTGTGGTATGTGTGACTGTGTGTGGTTGTGTGGTGTGTGCTGTGTGTTGTGTGTGGTGTGTGCTGTGTGTTGTGTGTATTGTGTGTGTGGTTGCAGTGTGTGGTTGTGTGGTGTGTGGTTGTGTGTGTTGTATGTTGTGTGTGGTTGTGTGTTGTGTTGTGTGTGTGGTTGTGTGTGTTGTGTGTGGTGTGTGGTGTTTGTGGTTGTGTGTGGTGTGTGTGGTTGTGTGGTGTGTATTGTGTGTGGTTGTGTGTGCGGTATGTGTGATTGTGTGTGTGGTTGTGTGGTGTGTGCTGTGTGTGTGGATGTGTAAGTGCAGTGTCTTCTCCATCCCTCCTTCGGGCGAGGCTCCTCCTCTGCCCGAACCTTTTCCTTTAACCATGTGCTCCGTGCTCCATTCCACTTGCTCTTCTCCCTGGCTGATGTTATCCTCAGAGCCCTTCGGTTTGTTCCACACACGTTTCCTGGTGTCTTAGGTCAGGCTCCCCGGAGGCAGTCGTTAAGGGCCCAGACGCAGGTGATTTATTGAAGGGAGATGATCCCAGGAGGAACTAGTAAGGAGGCCGGGAGTGCGCAGCCCGGGTGGGCTGGGGGAAGCCACGCTGGTACAGTTTCCCGGGAAGAACAAGCCCTAGCTAGATCCCGCAGGAAAGTTCTGGAGTATAAATTATTTCTCAGAGTTTGCCCCAACTCAGGCAAGGGAGCTGGGCTTTTAGACCCCTCCCCAGTCCGCCACGGCTAAAGGCTGCTCCCCACTTCCCTGCAATGGCCTGAGGACAGGGCCCCAAAGCAAGTCGCAGGCGCCTGGGTTAGCCATGGAAGCCCCCCGGGGCTGGGGAAGGGCCGGACGCAGGAAGGGGTCCGGTGGGGGGCTTGCAGGAGCACCACCAGGGTCCACCACAGGCCCCCTCTGTGTGGCCCTGGACTGGGGCGTGGCTTCCCCGTGTGTGCCCTCTGTCCCCTCGGGGAAGGACTGGATTTGGTTACTTCTTCCCCAGACGCACCGTACTCTGGACGGATGGGCCCCCATCTGACCCTGTGACCTTCAGAAGTCACTGCCTCTTTGGAGTTCAGTTCCCCAGATGTAAGGGGGTTTGACTCTGGAAGACCCCTCCCTCCTGCCACCCTGTGGCCACAGAAGCTTAACTTGATGGAGTGGGGGTACTGATAAAGAGTGCAATGCCTAGGGACCATTTGGTGAGCCTTTAGATAGCTTTTATCCAGAGAGATGTGATGAAAATCCTATTAGAAGGCTGATGAGATCACGGAATTATCTCATTAGCTGGTAGAGTGGGGACATGTGAGCATTTTACAGAAATCAAATCCCAAGAGTTCAGGAGAGAGCTTGTGAGTGAGGAAGTGTGTGTGTGTGTGTGTGTGTGCATGTAAATATGTGTGGTGTGTGTAGTATGTGGGGGGTGTGGTGTGTGAGTGTGCGTGTGGTGTGTGTGGTGTGTGTAGTGTATGTGGTGTATGTATGTGTGGTGTGTGTGTGTGATGTGTGTATGGTGTGTGTGGTGCATGTGGTCTGTGTGGTGTATATGTGTGTGGTGTGGTGGTGTATGTGTGTGGGGGTGTATGTGTGTGTGTTGTGTGGTATGTGTGGTGTGTATCTGTGTGGTGTGTGTGTGGTGTGCGAGTGTGCATGTGTGTGTGGTATGTATGTGGTGTGTGTATGTGTTTGGTGTGTGTGTAGTGTGTGATGTGTGTGGTGTATGGTGTGTGTGTCTGGTGTGTGTATGGTGTGTGTGTAGTGTGTGTATGTGGTGTGTGGTGTGTGTGGTGTGCATGTGTCTGGTGTGTGTGTATGGTATGTGTGTCTATGTGGGGTGTGTGGTGTGTGTGCGTATGTGGTGTGTGGTGTGTGTGTATGGTGTGTGTAGTGTGTGTGTATGTGGTGTGTGTGGCGGGTGTGTTTTGTATGTGTAGTGTGTGTGTATGTGGTGTGTGTGTAGTGTGTGTATGTGGTGTGTGTGTAGTCTGTGTGTCGGTGTGTGTGTGTGTGTGTGTGTGTATGTGGTGTGTGGGTGTATGTGTCTGGTGTGTGTGTGTGTGTGTGTGTAGTGTGTATGTGTGTGTGTGTGGTCTGTGTGTCGGGTGTGTGTGTGTATGGTGTGTGTGTGTAGTGTGTATGTGGTGTGTGTGTGGTCTGTGTGTCGGGTGTGTGGGTGTATGGTGTGTGTGGTGTGTGTGTATGTGGTGTGTGGGTGTATGTGTGGTGGTCTGTGATTTTAGGTGGATGTTTTAGGGTGGTGAGAGTTGGAGCCTCAGAACCAAGGGCGTGGACATAAGGTCCCTGCCGCTGAGGGCGGGACAAAAGGAGTCTGAGCGGAAGAGCTGCCTTATATGTCGGCTTTTGCCCACTCACATTGCAAAGAACACAAGAGCAGCCTGGGCACAGGGTGAGTCGCTGCTGCATGGCGGAGGGCAGCAGTTGCTGTGTGGCATCGTTTCTGGTACAGAGTCCACCATGACCGGATCAACAACGGGGATGGAACTCAGCTTTCTGGAGCCGGTCTTGAGAGGGGTGGGGTTTTGAGTGATGGGAGTCTTTTTCAGCCTGCCTCCAGCATCCAGAAAGTACATTGGCAGGACACGGGGACCTTGCGAGGCAGTGTGCTCCTGGCTGACCCACTCCGTGCCTGGGAAGGGACACTGCGCCCCAAAGAACGCTTGGGGCCGTGGTCGGGTCACGCGGAAGCCTGAACGCCAAGCAGTCATCAGGCGAGATTGATGGCAGAGGAGTGGTTTGGGGGAGGCCCGGGTGGCCTGCTGCAGCTTCACCGCTGTTATTTATGGCCTCGCTGAGGCGTCAGTGACTGGGTTGACAGCTCGCTGTAAGCTGACCTGGCTGGCGCACTGCCTGCAGCCTTCTGCCTGCCCATCCCTCGGCGTGAGGAATGTCAGCCTCGGAGACAGTGACCAGACGCAGTAGGTGTGGAAGGACGGGTTCCAGAATCCTCACCCCGAGACCTCTTTATCCGGAGAGAGGCGTGTGTGCGTGTGTGGACACATGCTTGTACCCCCTCCTATTTATACAAGCAGACATTTGTGACAGAGACACAGCGCAGCTAACTTGATTCTGACTTTTGGTACAGGGGAAATGAGCACAAATAATCCCAAATAATAAGTAAAATCCCAAAGCAGTTCCTGGGGGATGCAGTTGATTCAGGAAATGGGCATTGAAGGGATTTCGTTTTTGTCTTTGTGATTTGTTTTTGCTGTGTGTGGGGGGGGGTTTATTTTTTATTTATTTATGTTTTTTGAGATGGAATCTCACTCTGTCCCCAGGCTGGAGTACAGTGGCGCGATCTCGGCTCACTGTAACCTCCGCCTCCTGGATTCAAGCGATTCTCCTGCCTCAGCCTCCTGAGCAGCTGGGACTACAGGCGTGCGCCACCACGCCCGGCTAATTTTTGAGTTTTTAGTAGAGACAGGGTTTCACCACGTTGGCCAGGATGGTCTCAATCTCTTGGCCTCGTGATCTGCCCGCCTCGGCCTCCCAAAGTGCTGGGAGTCTGCTAGGACTGAATCTGAAAGACTGGAGAAAGTAAGACGTGTGGGAATGGGGAAGGAGATTCCAGGTCGGGGGTGGCGTCTACTGCAGGCCTGGGTGTTGAGGAAGCACAGAGTTTGGGCAACTACAGGCGGTTGCCTGGTGTGGAGCAGCTTGTGCTGGAGGCAGGGGTTGGTGATGACGAGGAAATCGAAGCCCAGAGCGCATCATTCACTTGCTCAAAGTCACACAGCTTTGCCGTCAGAACTGGGGTGATGCTGTGGGCGTGACAGCCTCTCCAGGCCAGCTCTGTTTCCCGCACACTATCCTCTCTCCCCTCCCTGAGGCTGGCACATCCCCGAATCACCCGATACCACCTTGCCCTGCCCCACCCAGGAGGCTCAGCTCGCGGACAGAGTGACTCAGGCATTAATCAGCTTTTCCCTGGGTTGAGAAAACCTGAGACAGAGAGCTACAGTCGCGCCTGCCACATCTACCTCCCCAGCCATCCTACTCTCTATGCTGCTGCAAACTAGACATTCCTTCCTGGAGGGACCTCTCGCTTCCCATCTTCAGATCAGGACGCACGGTCTCTTCTCCGCAGCTGCTTCCTCTGGTGTTCCTGTGCTCCTGTCGGCCCGCTGCTCCCACACACATGCCCATTCTTCTCGGGCTGGCTTGTATCTCAGGGTTACGCTCCCCAGGTCCCTTGCTCCAGGTAGGTTTGGCCAATAGCAGGTGAGGAGAGGGTGGGCGGAGGGGAGACGCCGGGGCATTTCCTCCCCTGGGTCCCTGCTCTAGGAAGCATCTCTAGCAGGGCTTGCGCCTCCCCGGCGCCAGTTCCCACTGCGCAGGTCTGCTGTGGCTTCTGCCTGGTGGGCAGCTCCCGGCCTCCGGGCTCCACCTGCTTCCCTTTTCTGTCCCTCCTGCTCCAAATGGTGCAGCGCCGTCCTCCCATTGCTCACCTCGGGGCTGCTCACCATCTCGTTTGCCTTCTCAGTTTTTATACCACCGATGCAACCAGTCCCCTGGATTAAACTCCCTCTGTTGGAAATACTAGCATGGTTCCTGATGGGCCGGGCCCCTGGCTGATACACTTCCTTCTAGGAGGATGGCACCGGGTCAGAGTGTTCAGACTTGTTGACGTCCCTCCCCCCACTCAATTCGTCACTGAGCCAGAAGACTGAGCCTTGGGAATGTCTCTGAGCCCACCCCACCTCTCCTCTCTGGCAGCAGCCTTGGGCGAGTCCTGCCCTGGTCAACCCCAGCAGCCTCCCACCAAGGCCAGCCCAGCAGCCCACCCTCCCACGGCTGCTCAAGCCCACCAGGCCATGCTTTAGACGAGGCTCTGTAACTTTGCAAATCAAGCATGCACCGTAGGACCAGCCTTTCCACTCTGCTCCCAAGCTGCCTTCCAGCCCTGTGCCATCCTCTACACACCCCTCCCCCCGCTGTACACCCCACACCCCATTACCAGGCTACCAGTCACTTCCCAAACACACCCTGCACACTGGTCTGCTCGCTGTCTGCTTTGCCTTGTCAGTTTTTGTACCACCTATATCTATGCAGCCAGTCCCCTGGATTAAATTCCCTCTGTTTGCAATACTAGTGGGCTTCCTGTTGTGCTGGACCCCTGGTGATATATTTCCTTCTAGGAGGATGGCAGCAGGTCCTCTGCCTGCTCGTTCATGCTGTTCCCTCTGCCTGAACTGCCTCCCCCTCTTTTTTTTTTCTGAGATGAAGTCTCCCTCTGTTGCCCAGGTTGGAGTGCAGTGGCTTGATCTCAGCTCCCTGCAACCTCTGCATCCCAGGTTCAAGCAATTCTCTTGCCTCAGCCTCTGAGTAACTGGGATTACAGGTGCCCACCACTATGCTCAACTAATTTTTGTATTTTTAGTAGAGATGGGGTTTCACCATGTTGGCCCAGCTGGTTTCAAACTCCTGACCTCAATTGATCCGCCCACCTCAGCCTCCCAAGGTGCTGGGATTACAGGTGTGAGCCACCATGCCCAGTTGGCCCTCTCTTTTTTACTAGTAAAAAGTCTATTGATTCTTTTGATTCTTTAAGACCTACAGCAATTGCTGCGTCCTCTAGGATGAAACACATCACTACCCATTCTGCTTTCCTTGGCCGTCTGTCCCTGCCTCTGTGAGGGCCCTTCTCACAGGCGATGTGAATGTCTCCAGGACTGGGACCCTGTCTCAGCCCTCGTGTACCCAGATTCCTAGCACCGAGGCCAGCCCTCACACAGGAACTCAGGAAATGTTGACTGGAGTGGAAAGTGCACCTTGAAATCACCTCACCCCCGACCCCAGTCCCTTGGAGACGGGGCGTGCTCCCAGGCTCCTTTTCTGTTTGAACAGCCAACCAGAGAATGAGGGGCCTCCCCTGTCCTAACCCCAGGGCTGTGCATTTCTGTGACATTCTCAATGATCCTGGTTAATGTTTAATTCCAGTTTCTTTGTTTTCTGTAAAGTTGATAACAGAGTGGTGTAGCAGAGAATGTAAAAGACCAAGACCCACAGCAGGAAAACAAATACGCACCCCGTTTTTACTTAATAATTAAAAGTTAGTCATTTCCCAGAGCTTTTTGGGAATGAATGGAAATGAATTCAGAATGTTAAAATCCAGCCCTGCAAAATGCTATAACCATATAAAGAGCATTCATGATGCTTGCATCACAGGCCCCAGGGCTGGTTTTGCACACCAGCCATGTGCTGGCCTCTACAAAGATTCTGTCTTCCTGAAACTTCCATCAGTGTCTGACTCCTGCATCACAACACAGATGGCTTTTCTGCGGGATCCTGGATAAAGCCTGAGCTCATCAACCTTAACTTCAACACCCTCCCTCCTGGCCCTTTTCAACCTTTTCAACCTTGGCTGTCTCCGTGGGAACCCTCTTTTCCAGCCAGACATCCTGTTTACAGATCTCAGATGGGCCATGGGGCGGGTCTCACTCCTGCCCTCTTTGAGGACAGGGTAAAGGAGTGGTTAGGAGTATGAGGTCCAAATTCGGGCAGGCCAGGGTTCATGTCCAAGCTCCATCATATCTAGGCTGGGATAGCCACACCACCTCCAGGAAGCCTGCTCTGGTTTTCCTGACCCATGGCCATGCATTTCTCCAGTGTCTGCCTGCTCCAAGTGTCATCACTGCCTCCGTGGCATTGAAACCTCGTCAGTCTTGTGATATCTATTTCTCTGTCCCTTATTCATGTGTTTGTCTAGTTTCTCCATCTGGACTCTAAATGCTGTGCCCACAACAGGCTATTATGGGTCTCTGTGTGTCCCAGACTGCCCGCATGAATAATGGCTGATATGGCTTGGATTTTTGTCCTCTCCAAATCTCATGTTGCAATGTGATTCCCAGTGTTGGAAGTGGGGCCTGCTGGGAGGTGAGTGGATCATGGGGGAAGATCCCTTAAGAGTAGGTTAGCACCATCCTCTTGGTGATATGAGTTCTTGCTCAGTTAGTTCATGTGAGATCTCGTTGTTTAAGCATCTGGGACCTCCCCTTTCTCTCTCTCTTGCTCCCACTCTCACCATGTGATGTGCCTGCTCCCCTTTCTTCTTCCACCATGAGTGGAAGCTTCCTGAGGTCTTTAGCAGAACCAGATGCTGGCACCATGCTTCTTTTACAGCCTGCAGAATTGTGACCCAATTAAACCTCTTTTCTTTATAAATTTCCCAGTCTCAGGCATTTTTAATAGCAATGCACAAACGGACTAACACAGAAAATTGGTATAGTGAATAGAGTATCGCCATAAAAATACCTAAAGATGTGGAACTGAGTAACGGGCAGAGGGTGGAAGAGACTGGAGAGCTCAGAAGAAGACAGGAAGATGAGGGAACGTCTGGAACATCTATGGTTGTGACAAAAATGCTGATAGAGATATGGACAGTGAAGTCCAAGCTGACAAAGTCTCAGATGGAAATGAGAAAGTTATTGGGAGCTGAAGCAAAGATCACCTGTGTTATTCCCTAGCAAAGAGCCTGGATGGATTGTGTTCATGTCCTAGGGGTTTGTGGAAGGTTGAACTTATTTGGTGGCAGCTGGCAGAAGAAATTTCTAAGTATCAAGAAGTGACGTGGCTGCTTCTAACAGCCTACGATCAGATATGGGTGTAAAGAAATGACTTAAAGTTGGAACTTATACATGAAAGGAAGCAGGGCATAAAAGTTCGTAGCCTAGCCATGCAGCAGGGAAAGAAGAAGCATTTTCAGGAGCGGAATCCAAGCAGCCAGTGTAGCAATCATTTGCTAGAGACATTAGCATGACTAAAAGGGAGCCAAATGCTAATATCCAATACAATGGGGAAAAGTTCTCAAAGGCATTTCAGAGGTCTTGGAGATAGCTCTTCCCATCTCATGCTCAGGGGCCTAGGAGGAAAGAATGGGTTCAGGGGCCAGGTATGGGGCACTGTTGTCCAGTTCAGCCTCAGGACACTGCTTGCCACATCTCTGCTGGCTCAAAAGACCCCAGGCCCAGGTACAGCTCCAGTTGCTGCTTTGGAGAACGCAAGCTGCCATAAGCCTTGGCAGTTTCCACTTGGTGTTAAGCCTGCAGGCACACAGAATGTAAGTGTGAAGGAGGCTTGGCAACTTCCACCTAAATTTCAGAGGATGAATCAGCAAGCCTAAGGTGGCTGCCCAGGCAGAAGCCTGCTGCAGGGGTGGAGCCCCCACCAGAGAAACTCTACTAGGGCAGTGTGGAGGGGAAATGGGGGTTGGATCCCCCACACAGACCCCCCACCAGGACACTGCCTAGTGGAGCTGTGGGAAGGTGGCTGATGTCCTCCAGACCCCAGAATGATAGAGCCACTGACAGCTTGCATACTGAGCATGGAAAAGCCACAGGCACTCAACTCCAACCCATGAGAGCAGCCACAGGGCTAGACCCAGAAAAGCCACAGGGGCAGTGCTGCTCAAGGCCTTGGGGGCCCATCCCTTGAACCAGTGCACCCAGGATGCAGGACATGGGATCAAGGATCATTTTGGAGCTTTAAGGTTTAATGACTGCCCCAATGGGTTTCAGACTTGGGTGGGTCTGGTAGCCCCTTCCTTTGGGTCAATTTCTCCCTTTTAGAATGGGAATATCTACCCAATGCCTGTGCCACCATTGTATCTTGGAAGTAAATAACTTGTTTTGATTTTACAGGCATATAGGTGGAAGGAACATGCCTTGGGTCTCAGATGAGACTTGGACTTTTGGATTAATTCTGGAACAAGTTAAGACTTAGGGGGACTATTGCAAAGGCATGATTGTATTTTGAAATGTGAAAAAGACATGATATTTGGGTCCTGGGCGGGGAATAACGTGGTTTGGATATTTGTCCCCTTCGATTATCATGTTGAAAGGTGATTCCCATTTTGGGGGTGGGGCCTGGTAGGAGGTGAGTGGATCATGGGGGAAGGCCCCTCGTGAATGGTTAAGCACACCCCTTGGTGATAAGTGAGTTCTTGGTCAGTTAGTTCATGTGAGATCTGGTTGTTTAAAAGAGTCTGGGACCTCCCCCAACCCCTTGCTCCTACTCTTGCCATGTGATGTGCCTGCTCCCCTTTTGCCTTCCACCTTTCACCATGAGTGGAAGCTTCCCAAGGTTCTTACCAGGACCAGATGCTGACGCCATGCTTCTTGAACAGTCTGCAGAATTGTGAGCCAATTAAACCTTGTTTCCTTATAAATTACCAGCCTCAGGCATTTCCTTATAGCAATGCACAAATATACTAACACAATGGCCATAGACAGCGCTTACCATTAGCTCATTTAACTTGTCTACGAGGGCAGCACAACTTGGGGTCCACATACTCATGCCCAACTTCATTGGCCATTCAACTCCAGCCAAGTAACAGGACGAAAAGACAGAAACCCACCATAAGCTGCGGCTGAAGGTGGCCATCCAGCCCACTGTTGGGACAGAATGCTTAGTGTGTACAGATTTGCTTCGGTGTCCCTAAGATAGGCTTCTGACCTGTCTATTTTCCCTGAGAATTCAGAATAATCATGAACAAGATGGGAGTATGAATCTCAGCATGGAGGCCCAGTGGCTGACACCTAGCTTTCAAACCTAAACATCTTGCACAGGTTTCCTTGTACCATGTTCTCTGATGCGATGTCCTGTGTCTCTGCTCACTGCTTCAGTGCCCTCCCAAGCAGCCGGGATGGAGCCCGGGCCGCCACAGCCCCCCTGGAGTGCGTGCCGCCTGATAGGTGGATCAAGAGCAGAACTCACATGCTGCCTCCTGGGGAGGAAGGGGGTTGTTTATGACCATATGAGCTTTGAGGTACCCAGGATGACAGGCCACCCTAGAACCCAGGGAGCTTGGGCAAGTTCATCCCCTTCTCTGGGCCTCAGTTTCCCTCATCTGTCCTGCAAAAGAATTGGATCAGATAATCTGGGACATTCTATCCAGCTCTCTGATCCAGAGATCAGGTTTGGGGCCGGGTGGGGGATGTGAAGTGGTCTTCCAAGCTGTCAACATAGCCTGATTGTGTAAGGCCTGCACAAATGGTGTTTAGAGCAATACTTTCAAACCTTAATGTTGGGTGAATCACCTGCGTCTAGAGAAAATGAAGATTCTAGCAGGAGAGAGTGGAAGAGTGGTTACCAGAGGCTGGGAGCAGGGTTGGATGGGGAAAGATTGGTCAACAAGTACAAAGTTGCAGCGAGGAGGAAGTTCTTGTGTTCTATGGCACAGCAAGGTGACTGTGGTTAACAGTACCGTATTGTACATTGCAAAGTAGGTAGAAAAGATTTACAATTTCTTTAGCAAAGATGAGATGATGGATAGGCTAAATACCTTGATTTGATTTTTACACAATGCATACATGTATCAAAACATCACATTGTACCCCAGAAATACGTACAATTATGGGTCAATAAAAAGCAAAATAAAATATGTAGATTCTCTCTCAATGGTTCTGAGGCGGGGTCTCTAAACCTGCATTTCTAACAAGCTCCCTGGTGATCCCGCGGTGCCGGCTGAGTCGGTGCCTTGATTAGGAGGGTTTGGCACTAGGTCTCCAGGTGTGATCCCGGAGCGGCAGCATCGGCATCACCTGGGAACCTTGTAAGAGCGAGTAGGGCCAAGCTACAGAAGTATTGGGTCAGAAACTCTGGGGTAGCGCCCAGCAATATGTGATGTAACAAGCCCTCCAGGCGACTCCCATGAGCTCAATTCTGAGAACCACTGCTTTAAGACAACAGCTTCTAAACTGGGCGGTGCATAGGAAGCACCGAGAGAGTTTTTAAAAATACTGGGGCCTGGGGCCCGCTTGTCGGGGTTCTAATGTAATCGGAATAGGTGCCTCCCGGGCATCGGGATTTTTACAGTCTCCCCAAGTGATTCTAATGTGAAGTCAATGAGCCTTAGGGCGGACAGAAGATGAGGGCTGCGGGGCTCCCAGGCTGCGAGCCTGCGATTCTTCTGACGGCGCTTTCCGGACGACGGCCACTAGGGCGCGCTGTGGCACCGCTGGGAGGCCGGCTGCGGTTCAGCCTCCTCTCGCCAGCGGCTGGAGGAGCTCCGGGCTGGGAGGCGGCGCGAAGCCCCGGGGGTCGGAGCCTCCGGGAGCGGCTTCTGGCCCAGGCCGGCCCGCCCCCGTGCATCGGCACCTAATTAATGCTGGCCGCGGCCTCGCCGCGCTTGACGTCAGTGATGTGCTCCGTGCTGGGGAGACGCGGCCTTTGCAGCCGCTCGGCACAGGTTGCTTCACCCTGGCCAGCCCTGCTGCCCGCCCCCTCCAGGCAGAACGCCGGGCTCACCTCTGGGACCGAGCCCTTGCTCATGCTGCTCTGATGACACTCACGCGAGAGTTTCTCCCCCATTTCCACCCGGCAGGACACCAGTTTCCTTTTCCATCTTCCCTGGCTGTTCTCTGCCCCTCCCCTGCCTTTTCAGAACACGGAGGGTCCCGGAAAATCCCACAGGCCTGGGGCTTTGCCAAGTCAGCCGCAAGAACCACCTCTCACCTTTCCCTTTCTGGGTCTCTCCTCTGCTCAGTTCCTTTCCTGTTCCTGCTCCTCCTTTTTCTCTCATCTGAGCCGTGTGGATCAGATACTTCCTGCCTATGCGTTCTCATGCACAGAAGTGGAAGAGATGGGATGGTGAAGGGGGGATTGCCTTCTTTAGCAGCACAGATAGGACTGCGTTTGTAAGGAGCGTTTTGTATGTTGGGGGTGACGAGGTTGCTGATGAAACTCTAGTGTTCTGTCCCCCACAGCCACATTACTCCCTTTAAGCAGCGATGGGAGTTGATTCTGGAGAGGAGAACTCAGCCGAGTAGAGCAACGCTGTCTTGTCTAGCTGCCCCAGCTGGCTGGAAGGGTCTTCCATGGCTGGAGGAGTTTCCCCAACCAGGACGCCAGAACTGTCTTTTTTTTTTTTTTTTTTTTTTTGAGACAGGGTCTTGCTCTGTCACCCAGGCTGGAAGTGCAGTGGCGTGACCGCAGCTCACTGCATCCTTGACCTCCCAGGCTCAAGCGATTGTCCCACCTCAGCCTCCTGAGAGGCTGGAATTACAGGCATGCGCCACCACGCCCAGCTAATTTTTTTTTATTTTTTGTAGAGACGGAGTCCCACTGTGTAGCCCAGGCTGGTCTCAAGCAATCCTCCTGCTTTGGCTTCCCAAAATGCTGGGATTACAGGTGTGAACCACCCCGTGCCTGGCCCAGAGCTGTCTTTATCATAAATGTTCCACGCCATATTTCATCTCTGCCCATCCCCTTATCCCCATTCCCAAACCTCCAATCTGATATTTGTGTGAGATTTCATTTGGAGGAAGGCCATGTACATAATGGTTTGGATGATGCCTGATAGCCTCCCTGGCTTTGCCAGCCCATAATTCTAAGATGGGAAGAGATGTTGCTGGGGAGAAGAGGCGGAGGCTTCTCTTCTGATTCCTGCCTGGAGCCCTGACTGCAAGGGTTGCTCCTGGCTTCCCCCATTTGAACCCCACCCCTGGCTGGCCAGTGAGGGGAGCATTCCCTACAGCCCCAGGGAGGGAGAGGCTGCCAGCGGCCAGACAGGGCATTGGGCAGATGGCACAGAGCCAGCCCAGCCAGGTGGGGAAATTGAGACCCAGAGAGGGTAAGGGACTTGCTCAAGGTCACACAACCAGACCCTGGCAGATCCCTTTCCACGCTAATTCCTCAGAAGCTCCTGCTGGGGTCTCTAGTGGGATACTTTGGACAGCCCTGTGGGAGTGGCGGCTGGGTTCCACCGGGAGTGGGGTTACTTTGAAGAACAGTAGTCTCTCCTTGAATCCAGATGAGCAGATACGGTTCCAGGGCTCAGCCTGACCCTGAGGCTGTCACAGCTGGGGCAGGGGCTGAGGGTGGAAACTGCCTCTAAGAGCTCAGAGGGCGTTTAGCCTGCCAGGCACAGAGCCTCCACCGGGGACAGAAAGCCAGGAAAAAGGTGTGGGACGTCAGTACGAATCCTGCTCCTTCCATCGTAGACTCTGAAAGTAAAGGTCCAAGCTTTGAATTGGATCTCAGCTGGGGCTGGGGGCTGGCCAAGAAGATTGGGGTGGCCACACATTTGGGCAAGTTTCCCTACTGCCTCCGCAATGCGCCTGGCCAGGGCCCAACTGGAAATCAGAGACCCATGAAACATCAGCTCAGGGAGCATCAGGGATGCATGCTCGTGCTTCAAGAGGAAGAAACCCCGAGAGGAGGCTGGGAGAGAGACTGGTCCAAGGTCACTGGACAGTGAGTGGTGGAGCTGGAGCTTGGACGTGGGCTCTGGACTCTGGATTGTGTGTCCCCGCCACTGTCCTGACATCCATGTGGACAGATGCCCTGATCCCCCTCTGCAGGGGCTGTTCTCTTTTCCTCTCTTTGGGGTGTATAATGTGTTTGTCTTTGTGTGTGTGTGTGTGTGTGTGTGTGTGTGTGTGTGTGTGTGTGTGTAGACATTTTTTATTTTGTCTCTTTACCTCCAAATCCTATCTGCTTCATAAAACTCAGAGAAAAAGTCTATAAGCTCAGTCACCCATTCCAGGATCGCTGTCAGGAAATCCTCGTTCCCATCT
Organism: Homo sapiens; assembly: GCF_000001405.40. Taxonomy (NCBI): domain Eukaryota; kingdom Metazoa; phylum Chordata; class Mammalia; order Primates; family Hominidae; genus Homo; species Homo sapiens. The sequence continues at coordinate 194,313,268 of NC_000003.12, read as the reverse complement.
CACCCGCATCCCCCACGCTGGAGCTTAAGTCCTTCCAGGTGGGGCTGGCAAGAGTCTGCGGGACTTACTCCAAGAGCCCCGGGGAAGCGGGCTGGGCTGTTTGGGGAGGAATGCTCACCCGGCAGTGTGCAGGCCTGGCAGGGCTGCCTCTAAACCCAAATTGCAGTCCCCAAGCACGTGCGCTTGCTCTGCCTGAGATCTCCAATGATGCTGCTTTGGCGGGAGTACTGATTCTAGCCAGTGATTTATCATCTGTTTACTCAGAGAAACTGCTTGTTCATTTCTGCTGGTGGGAAGGGAAGGAGGGAGGGAGGGAGGTGAACGTGTGTCCTGTGAGCTGCAGAGGTAGCCGGCAGGGATGACTTATACACTCCCCTCGATGGGTGACCTCCATTCACTCTTCCTCCCCGCCTCTCCGCCTGATGAGAAACAGAATGTGCTCCCTCCCCCCTGGGAGGCTTCAGATTCATTTTCTGCTCAGACACCGTTGCTTGCAAAATTCCACCCAGAAGATAAGGGAGGGAGTATCGCTGCAGCGTCCTGCTCTGTGCCTGGTTATATTACTGGATCCTTGTGTTGCAGCCCTAAGATAGAAGGATTGTCTCCATTTCACAGATGAGAGAGAACTGATGCGCAGGAGGCTGAAATTGTCTGAAGTCACACAGCAGGTGGGTAGAGCTGGGACCCAACCCCCGTCAGGCTGGTGCCAACTTCATGCTCTTGGAGCAGTGTTTCTCCAAGTGTGCATCTCGAACCACCTGCATTAATTATAGTTACTTCTTCCTTCAGTCTCTGTTGTTTTCAACAGGGAGTTACTGACCTAGGCATGGCTCCAGGCTCATGGGATTCAGCAATGAGGAAGACAGGTCCTGGCCAAAGGAGGCCAAGAACAAACAAGTATAAGCAATAAGTCAGCCGGGTGCTGTGGCTCATGCTTGTAATCCCAACACTTTGGGAGTCTGAGGTGGAAGGATCACTTGAGCCCAGGAGTTCGAGACCAGCCTGGGCAACATGGTGAAACCACATCTCTACCAAAATATACAAAAATTAGCTGAGTGTGGTGGTGCACCTGTAGCCCCAACTGCTTGAGAGCCTGAGGTAGGAGGATTGTCTTAGCCCAGGAGGTTGACACTGCAGTGAGCCGTAATTGTGCCACTGCACTCCAGCCTGGGCGACAGAGAGAGACCCTGTCTCAAAAAAAAAAAAATTAAAAAGAAACAAGTCAATATCTAACAGGTGAGAGCACTAGGGGGAAAAGGAGAGCAGGGTGAGGTGCTGGGGAGTGACGAGGTTGTATGTGTGTTGCAATTTTAGATAGAGTGGTCAGGATAAACCTTACACAGGTGACATTTGGACTGAGACTTCAAAGAGGTTAAGTGTTTTGCTATTGAACCTGTATTTCCTGCACCTGCTTCAGACCTCCTCATTCAGAACCTGGCAGGGAAATGAGGCCCAGGAATACGTATTTTAACAAATCCTTTATCCACACCGCAATTTGGAAATCGCTGCTGTTTACCCTGGTGCTTCTTCTTCTACCTAACGGGTCAGGAAATATGTGTTCAAATCCAGGAATGGCTTTAGGGATTCAAGAATGAAGCTGGAATCCCGAGTCCTGGTGACGATTCCCTTCATGACTTGATAATTGGCCAATACTTAGTAACTAAACCAGGCAAAATGCACCTATGACTGTGACTGAGTCTGGAAAGCTCTGTGCCAGGGCAGGACATGGATATGCAGTCACAGCGTGACACAGATTACTGAAGTACAAGTTGGTGTCTTGAGGAGTGCATAACTTAGAAGGCTTGGGTTCTACGTCAGGCTCACCTGTGGTAAGCTTGGGCCAGTCATTTGCTTTGTGGAATTTCAGCTTCCAGGTTTGGGAAATGGAGCTGTTAGACCTTTCCCTACTTAGCTTATAACACTGCCACTACTTCTACTACCAGCCAATCTATGTATCCATCCATCTATCCATGCATCCATCCATCCATCCATGCATCCATCCATGCATCCATCTATCCATCCATCCATCCATCCATCTATCCATCCATTCTTCCATGCATGCATCCATCCATCCATCCATGCATCCATCCATCCATGCATCCATCCATCCATCCATCCATGCATGCATCCATCCATCCATCTATCCATCGATCCACGCATCCATCCATCCATCCTCACCACCACCATCAGTATCCTCATTTCATTTTATCAGCATTTCTGGCATGGCCTATATTCAAACCAACAAAATTCCAGTCCAATAAAATAATTTGGACATGCCTAACACTTACTGTAAAGGAATTTGGCCTGAGAAAATAATGAAGAAAAACTGTATAGAGAGTAATTAATTCTCCATACATTGGATATCAAAATCTTTAATCTTGGAAGATTAAATCTTGGAAGTTCTTTTCAATGAAGTCCAAAGGTGGGTTCATGCCACTGGCTTGGGGGAGCCAGAAAAGTGTCTTGTAACTTCAGTTGCGGTGAAAGCTGCTGTGAAAGGCAGCTTCAGATTTCCCCTGATGGCGGGCAGCCCTGCCTCTGTGCCCAGCCCTATTAACTGTTGGCCTCCCAGTTGCTGAAGCCAGCCAACAACATCCCCTGCCATTTGAAGTGCTTATTGGAAAAGCAGATTTCATCTTGGCTGGAGCTCTGAGCAGTTCCTTGTGTGGGGTACTCCCCAGGGCTGTAATTGAACACAAGAAAGCGTCGGCCTACTTTTGGCATTCCTGCTTTCATCTCAAAGACACATTTAAAAATTTATATTTAAAAAATGTCAGGGAAAGGGGCCAGCATGGCTCGTGTGGCCACTGGTGCCAGAACACCCAACACAGCCGCTCCAGGAGCAAAGGCTGCGGAGGATGAGACAGGAGAATTAGGACCATACCGTGTGGCAGTGCTCCATGCCCAGCTTCCGGGAGCTTGCCTGTGTGGCCTGAACAGTGAGGTGCTTTTGAGGCTGGGCCTCTGTCTGATCTAGGCTTTGCAGAGCAGGAGTTTGAGGGTTCAGATCAGGTCCCCCTCACAGCAGTCCAATTGGGTGAGAATTTTCTAAAAGCTGGGGGAAGAGGGTAGTCCAAGACCTACTTGGACACTCACCCCAGGGTCTGGGCAGCCTGGCTAGCAGGAGATGCACTGTCTTCCCAAGCCCCACCTGTTGTGCTGCTGCGGAACGTGGTTCCAAGGGCTTCTATCTACACTGGTGACTGTGGGTGGGAGAAAACCACTGAGGAAAAAGACCTACTGCTCCTCTGGCAGGATTCTGAAAACAGTAGGTGTCTAACGGATGTATGTTAGCTTGCTCTCACATGTGAAAGGATTGCAGTTAAGCACAACGCAACCTTTTTCTACAGCTCTTAGTAAGATCTTCTCTAGGGGCCATTGTAAAGCTAAACCACGAAGCTTCATGGAGGGCTGAAATAAGATAGCATACACTCAGAAGCCTGGTCTCTTAGGGACCACCCGCTTCCCTGCACAGGGTTACTGTTGCACTGTCAGCTTGTGGCCCACTATGACCCTCTTAATCTTATTCAGGAATTTTTGTTTATAGGGAATCATCATTCTGTATGCAATTGGCTTTCCCTCTGAGTGCAGGATCCTGCACTTATTTTACACTAAGATCATTGATAGCTTGTGTTTTCTAAAAAAGAAAAAAAAATTGCATGCCTTACAACAAAGAAAATACATTCAGTAAGATTA